>NC_000012.12:45187400-45338915 GCF_000001405.40 Homo sapiens
CAAAACAAACAAACAAACGAACAAAAAAGCAAAACAAAAAAACAATAACCCACAACACTCGGACCAACTTGGGGATGAATTGCAGTGAGACAAGAATAGAAATAGAGGTCAGTTAGAAGGCAATGGTAATACTCCAGATAAGACGTGGTGACTGCTTGAACTATGGTGGTAGCTGTGGATATGGAAAGAAATAGATAAACTTGAGGATGGGATGAGAAAGTATAATCACCCAATAATAATCAATGTCTGGCATATGTTAAAATAAAAAGTAGAGTAAAGCATTAGGACTGTAGTCATCAGGCAGCTATTAAAGATTTCTTGATGGGGAAATTAATAGAAGGAAAGTCATGTTTTAAGAAGATTCACGTGGGAGCAGAGTACAGAGTGGATTCTGGTAGAAACAGAGCGCGGGAGAGGAAGAAAGTCCTGAGGTAGGAGACAAGTTAGGAAGTCCATTCTTCCCATGATCCAAGGATTAGACACTAAGTCCTAAACCATAGTGATAGCAGACAATATGGAAAGGATGAGAAGCCACAAGATGTGAGAAACATCATGAAGGCAGTGTTGACAGTACTTAGTGACTGCTTTGATGTGGAGATTAGGAAAAGAAAGGACCTTCTTTAGGGAAAAGAAGAAATTAGTGATGGGTCCAGCAATCAGGATTAATTTACCAAGGTTCCAAGCCAGGATGGTGGAGATAGGTGGTACCACTGACAGAACTAGGAACGTTAGGAGAGGGAACTGGTTTTGGAGAAAAATATAACATGTTCTCTGCAACACCTGTTGCTTTTGGTAGGGTCATTTAAATAGAAACACTAAGTCAGAAATGCCTTAGAAATACAACGTTGGGGCCAGGCGTGGTGGTTCACACCTGTAATCCTAGCACTTTGGAAGTCTGAGGCGAGATGATTGCTTCAGTCCAGGAGTTCGAGACCAGCCTGGGCAACATAGTGAGACCCCATCTTTAAGAAAAATTAAAAAACTAGCCGAGTGTGGTGGCACATGCCTGTAAGTCCCAGGTACTTGGGAGTCTGAGGCAAGAGGATTACTTCAGCCCAGGAGTTCAAGGTTGCATGCCACTGTACTCCAGCCTGGGTGACAGAGTGAGACCCAGTCTCAAAGCAAAAAAAAAGGAAGAAAGAAGGAATATAAGATTGGACCTCATGGGAGAGCCATAGAGGTAGATCCATCACAATGTACATAGAGGTGCAGGTTGAAGCAATGGGCAGGAATGGGCTGTTGAGGGACAGAGAGAACAGAGGGTCAAGGGTAAAATGTTTTCAAAGATCAGATGTGAAAAAATGAGAGGACAGGAATGGTTGGTAGAATCAAAGGCTGCAGGCTGGGTGTGGTGGCACATGCCTACAATCCCAGTACTTTGAGGCCGAGATGGGTGGATCACTTGAGGCCAGGAGTTCAAGACCAGCCTAGCCAACACAGTGAAAACCCCAACTCTACTAAAAATACAAAAATTAGCCAGGCATGGTGGCTCACACCTGTAGTCCCAACTAGTTGAGAGGCTGAGGCAGGAGAATTGCTTCAACCTAGGAGGTGGACGCTGCTGTGAGCCGAGATCACACCATTGCACTCCAGCCTGGGCAATAGAGTGAGACTCCGTGTCAAAAAAAAAAAAAAAAAAAAAAAAAAAAAGCATCAAAGAATCAATGATAAAAGCATTGAATTTGGTAACTACATTTTTTTGAGACAGGGCATCACTCTGTCACCCAGGCTGGAGTGCAGTGGCATGATCTTGGCTCACTGCAGCCTCGACCTCCTGGGCTCAAGTGATCCTCCCACCTCAGCCTGATCTTTAGTAAGCTTTTAGAAAGCATTTGGAGTGACTGGAGCAAAGATCAAGTAGATAAGATTTCAGGGACAAAGAAAAAGTGAAAGAAGGGGAAAGGGTTTGTGTCGACTGTGGTCCAGACAACTATGCTTTAGTGATTGTGTACAGAAGGAAAGAAAAAGTGTATATTTTACCATAAGAAGCCCAGCTATAAAGGAACCCATGGGCTTGGGTTATCCATTAGACCTATGCATCACTCTATATAATAATTTACTTGTAAAGATGAGAAAAATAAATAAAAACAAGCAAAGCTTGTGACATAGAAACAGTAGTTTAAAATAGACATGGTGTTTTTTTCTGCTCTGAAATAGAAAGAGTTCCCCCAACCTCTGCCTTTTTTTAAAGAAACTGATCACTAGCTGAGTGTGATAGCACATGCCTGTAGTCCAAGCTACTCAGGAGACCAAGGTGGGAGGATTGCTTGAGGCCAAGAGTTTGAGGCCAGCCTGGGCAACAGAGCAAGACCCCATTAAAACATTAAAAAAACAAAAAAAACCCAACAAACTAGTTAATCACTGTTTCTTTGCCAAGAATATGAAAACATGGTTTATTCCTCTTTCAGCCTAACATATAGTTTCAAAGATCTCTGTTGGTAGGGGTTGGGTGGTGAGAAAGCTTTGAGAAAAAAGAAGACATTTTACTGTTTTCTTGAGTAACTCTTCCTGCATTAGCTAACTTTAAGCAAACTTATAGCTTGCTGCACCATACAACTTTAAAAATATCTCCTGTTACAGATTTGGCAAGGACATGGCAGGTTTGGTTTCCTTCCCTCCTTCCCTCCCTCCCTCCCTCCTTCCCTCTTTCCCTTCTTCCCTCCCTCCCTCCCTCCTTCCCTCTTTCCCTTCTTCCCTCCTTCCCTTCTTCTCTCCCTCCCTCCTTTCCTTTTTCTTTCTCTTTTCTTTTCTTTTCTTTCTTTCTTTCTCTCTCTCTCTTTCTTTCTTTCTTTTTCTTTCTCTCTCTCTCCCTCTTTCTTTAAGTGGCTATATTTTTTTCTCTAGCTTATATAACTTTTACGTAAGTAGTTCATATCAGTCACAAGGCCAGGCTGCTAGAAGTTTAAGATGTTTTCAAGAAAAGTGGAGAAAACATTGGCATCTATAAGAAAAAAAAATTTTAACACCCCCACATTTTTGGGAACTTGACATACAATTCCAACTGTTTGTTCCTAAACTATGCCAATGAAATTTTTTTATTCATTATTTTACATTGCAGACAGACAGATAACAGAACCAGAGTTCTCTAGCTCTTTTGTCTAAGAGGTAGTGACATGGCATTGGATTCAAGCAAATCTGAGTTTAAATTCCTGCTTCACCACTTACTAGCTATGCCAGAGACTAACTGTTTTAGTGTTCATTGTGACCTTATGTTTACTAATTAGTAGAATCTCCTAAGTTTCAGCTGGGCACAGCACTACTCAGCCATAAGCTACATTTCCCAGCCTCGCTTGCAGCTAGATGGGGCCATGCAGCTAAGTTCAGGTTAGCAGGATGTAATTTGAAAGGATTTCCACAATTTGGGGGCATCTACTTTGAGACAAAGCTACTTGCCTTGAATATTGTCTTTCCCCCTTCCCATAGGCTGAAACATGACTATGATGGTGACCTAGCTTTGGCCATGCAGGAGATGACAGTGGCAAGAGAAGGAAAATCTGGGTTTCAGATCGACATCATGGAGCAGAGCTGCGCCAACAACCTGAAATGCATGCTCACAGTGGCCTGTTAAGAGGGACAGAAATATAAACATTAATGAATGAAACCACTATATTTCGCAGTCTCTTTATTACAGCAGTTCAGACTATAACCTTGAAAATATCCTTGCTATGTGCCCTTTGTGTTTAACCCCTCAGAATCTCAGTTTCCTCTTCTGTAAACTGGGGATAATTTCTACCACACATCCACGATGTTGAAGACTAAATGAGAAAACCAGAACCTCACACGAGAGGTGCCCAATGAATACAGCTGATCCACCAACAAGATTCTCCAGTAAATCTCCAATGTCTAGCACAGTGCCCAGCACATAGTATGCCCTCAATAAATATTTATTGAAAGAACAACTACTCAGCCACAGGCCAATCAGAGTGGAAGTTGTAAGTGCCCAGAAATCCTGAGTGATAACACTCCTATTGTGAGGATTAATTGATGCCACATATGTGAAAGTCCTTAGCAAATGCATGACTCATACGTAGTAAGGCACTCAAATAAAAGTTTTCATCAGACTGTAAGCTTCTTGAGGATGAGTTCTGTGTCTTGTTCACCACTATGTCCCAAGTGAACAGCCCACAGTAAGAGTAAGTAAATATTTGTTGCATGAGGAGAACATTGATATACAATGGGTGAGCTATTTTTATCCCCATCAGGTATCTTCTTCCCACACAAAAGAAGGAAATTGACATACAAAAGTTAAGCAATTTGCCCAAGTTGACACAGCTTCTAAGTAGCATAGTAAAGACTTAAGCTAAGTTTACCCTTACTAGGTTCATATTTGGAGATCTTCTAATTTTCAACCTAGGTAGATACTCTTTTTTCTTTTTCTTTTCTTTTTTTTTTTTGAGACATAGTTTCACTCTTGATCTTGTCACCCAGACTGGAGTGCAATGGCGTGATCTTGGCTCACTGCAACCTCCACTTCCCGGGTTCAAGCAATTCTTCTGCCTCAGCCTCCTGAGTAACTGGGATTACAGGCGCCCGCCACCATGCCCAGCTAGTTTTTGTATTTTTAGTAGAGACGGGGTTTCACCATGTTGGTCAGGCTGGTCTCAAACTCCTGACCTCAGGTGATCTACCCACCTTGGCCTCCCAAAGTGCTGGGATTACAGGTGTGAGCCACCGTGCCCGGCCGATACTCTTTTTCTAGAGCAGACTTTAAGACAAGTATGAGGAGAGAATTGAAAAGAGGAAGCTGAGTTGGAATGTTTTCTCTCATTTTACAGATTTGCTTAGCACATAATATGAGGGTATACTCAGTGCTTAGCAAATCTGTAAAATACATAACCCTACAGCAGGGAACATTCTTCCCATTCCTTGCTTCTTAGAGGGCCTACACTGTTTAAAAGCATCTCCTCTCATTTTTTCCTCCTATTTATGTATAACTAGACCTTTTGGATCCCTATGGAAAAACAATTCAACAACTTTTTTTAAAGACTCATTGTTAAGTGACCAGATTAACAAATATTCACCCTTTAGCCTTGGGTAGTATTTATATCACAGAAGAGATAAAAGGAGAAGCCACCAGCATGGCTATCATGTTCTTACTCTAGCTGATTTGAAATGCCCTTTACACTTTCATCTTAACTACCAAAACAATAGATGAGTCACTGATCCTCAGCAAGATAAGTCACTGTTCTTCAGCGAGGGGATAAGCAGAACTAGTTCTCCTATCAGGATGAGGAGTTAATTATAAATGGTTTGGTTAGAGTGGGCTTGAGGAAATGCTGATGGGGGCAGGGTTCTTCTCTCTAGTGTATCCTCCCTCCCCGTTATCATTCTATAAACAGTTACTACTTTTAGAGGTGTATTGTTTTTAACAACTGTTTGATAATGAAGATACTGGCTGATTCCGTTTTAAGGTAGATGCTTTTGCAGGGATATTTTTAAATTAAAAAAAAAAAACAAAACAGGTAAGGATGAAAAGTTCCAGGTGAGAACAATGGCCCCTTTATAGCCTTTTTCTCTGTTTAGATTCAGAAATGCTGTCTCTATGGTATCCCTGGACTGCTTGCTGGCCTTTGAAAAATGGAAACCTATAAGTGATCGTCCTTCCATATTGCTTCTCGGGACCCACTGACCCCAATAAAATAAATTGATATTTATTTGTATTATATATTACATGTGTCCATGTGTTTGAGTGTGTGTATTTCCAGGTTTAGAAAGTTTGTACAAGTATTACCTGTAAATACTGTATTTGGTCTGAGACATCTATGAGGACATTTAATTTTTTTTCTGTCTTCATTCTTTCTTTTTAACCACTTTCTTCTCTTACCACTCATTAGTCTTTTTTTCTAACCTGATACACAAAGGTGGATATTGTTTAATGTGGCCATTTAGAAACCATGTCAGTTATCTTCCTGCCCTCTCTTCCGCCCCTGAATATGGGGAAGAAAGAGGCTCTGAAGGTTTGCTATCCTGGGTATAAGTATATGGACTCCCCTTTGTGAGAAGCTGTAGCCATGAAAGACAGAATCTGCCTTCCACCCAAGGTGGTTCCCTGGGGCCATGATTGCCTTTCCACATGGATGCTTTACACCTATGTGGAAAACAAGGCCACCCGACATTTACCCCAATGGTGGTAAAATACATAGGTGAGGAAGACCTCTGCCCCATACAGCCTTCCCTCACCTGAACTTCCTGTGAATTCTGAGGTCTGGACTAGGTCCTGATAGAAAAAAAAGAAAAAGGTCGAGTGTGGTAGCTCACGCCTGTAATCCCCGCACTTTGGGAGGCCGAGGCAGGTGGATCATGAGGTCAAGAGATCGAGATCATCCTGGCCAACATGGTGAAACCCCGTCTCTACTAAAAATACAAAAATTAGCTGGGCGTGGTGGCATGTGCCTGTAGTTGCAGCTACACGGGAGGCTGAGGCAGGAGAATCACTTGAACCCGGGAGGTGGACGTTGCAGTGAGCCGAGATCGCATCACTGCATGACAGCCTGGCGACAGAGCAAGACTCTGTCTAAAAAAAAGAAAAAAAAAAAAACCTTCTCAAAATAAAAAGGGAACAAAGGTGCATTTGAGAAGAGGGAGAATTTGGAGATGGACCAGGGTTTAAATTGTTGACTTAGTGAACAGAGGGGAAAAAATATTATGATGCTAGCAGCCTTTTCTGGAATTTCCAGACCTTTGGTAAAAATCCTAAGCCTTTTTTCTGTGTATGAGACATAGGAGTAGCAGGGAGGTGCAGGTAGGTGCAGCCAGGAGAGAAGAGGGAAAGGATGCAGATTTACGTCAGAGAGATTCCTTGTGAAGAAGTAACCATGTGACTTCTTCCTTTCACATCCAGTTTTTTTTTTTTGTATTTTTTTTTTTTTTTTTTTAGACAGAGTTTCACTCTTGTTGCCCAGGATGGAATGCAATGGCATGATCTCAGCTCACTGCAGCCGCCACCTCCTGGGTTCAAGAGATTCTCCTACCTCAGCCTCCCGAGTAGCTGGGATTACAGGCATGCACCACCACATTCGGCTAATTTTGTATTTTTAGTAGAGATGGGGTTTCTCCATGTTGGTCAGGCTGGTGTCGAACTCCCGACCTCAGGTGATCCACCCGCTTTGGCCTGCCAAAGTGCTGGGATTACAGCCATGAGCCACTACACCTGGCCTCACACCCAGTTTTAAAATATAGTCAATCTTCTGCTTGGAGGGTGGAGGAGCTATGATAGTACCAAGGGGCTAGTAAAACCAAATTAGGCTAAACATGGGTACAGCATGGATGTAAAATGAACTCCCTTAGTAATAATTACAATGTATACACAGAAAGATAATAATCATTCTCAAAAGTCATTCAAAAGTATAAAAACAATACATTAATGATTGTTTAGGAATACCATACCTTACATAAATTAGTGGGAGAAAAACTAATTATTGGTTAAAAAAAAAAACAGTCCATTATAATTATGTTTTTTAAGCTGAGCTTTCATTCCTGGGATCGAAATGAAAACACAATAGCCCCATTGCCTGCACAGTTCTTTCCTGCACTCAACAGCAGGGTTAGAATCCACAACCCGCTCTCAGGCTCCTTCCCCACAGCAGTCAGAGACAGTGTTCCCAGCGGGAAGGGACATCACACATCTGATTGTCAATGCAGAGGTGGCCCCACTGTACAATCTGGTTCAACTTTGCCAGTAAAAAAATAATGAATGGTTTCTCAGTTGCAATGGACTCCCAGGCTGCAAATCATGTAACCTGAGCATGGCCAGATGAACCAAGTGTGATCGATTTGTGCCCTGGAGCCAGCCAGAATGAAAAAGTCAACCACGCGCAGAACGTAGATACCAGGATAAAGAAATGGGGACCAAATTAAGAAGGAAGGGGTAACCTATTTTGTTGCAGTAGGAACTTAAAAACCAAGGACCCAACACCATTTTGTTGCATGACCCAATCAGATCATGCCTCCTTGCATTTCCCTGTCTCCCTCATAGTTACTCTCTGCCTATGAAACCTGCCCCTAGAACCAGCTCGGGGAGACAGATTTGATTGAGCATTGCTTCCTGTCTCCTTGCCGGTCAAACTTACAATAAAGCTTTTTCTTTTCTTAAAAATTGGTGCCATAGTACTGGCTTCTGTGTGCATCAGGAAGCAAGCCTATTGCTCGGTAACAGTACTTTGCAATAAGCACCATGTGGCATCCATGCATGGCTGCATTGTCCAGTCAAATGAGACAACTTCCTATGTGTTTACAGATTTTTAAGGCCAGGCGCGGTGGCTCACGCCTGTAATCCCAGCACTGTGGGATGCCAAGGCAGGCGGATAGCTTGAGGTCAGGAGTTCAAGACCAGCCTGGCCAACATGGCAAAACCCCATCTCTACTGAAAATACAAAAATTAGCTGGGTGTGGTGGCGTGCGCCTGTAATCCCAGCTACTCAGGAGGCTGAGGCACGAGAATTGCTTGAACCTGGGAGGTGGAGGTTGCAGTGAACCAAGATAGTGCCACTGTACTCCAGAGTGAGACTGTCTCAAAAGAAAAAAAAACGATTAAAAAAATTTTTTTACACATATATACATTGTAGAGTTATTTTTGCCTCTATTATCGAACATGGACTTTAGAAAGATCCTAGCATAGCATTTAATATTTCATATTCTGAAATCAAATGGAAAGAGAATTCCATGTTCATATAAATTTAAGAAATGCTTTGCTAAATTCAGGCAAACAGGATTCATTACAGGAGGGTTTCTGAGAGGCTTTGTGAATCCCAAAGAGAGGATATGGTGGGGGTATTTCCCAGTTATATTTGGCCACACATCGATTTCCTTCTCTCTCTCTCTCTCTCTTTTGGTGGTTGTTTTCTTTTAATTAGGTCATGTCAAAGGACTAGAATTCCAAGGAGCAAACTAAAAGACTTCTTTAGAAGCTTAGTATTTCATCAGTTCAACAAATGTTTCTGAAGCCATCTAGATAGGTTTTTTTTGTTTTTTGAGACGGAGTTTCACTGTCGTAGCCCAAGTTGGAGTTCAATGGCACGTCTCGGCTCACCGCAACCTGTGCCTCCCGAGTTCAAGCGATTCTCCTGCCTCAGCCTCCCCAGTAGCTGGGATTACAGGTGTGTGCCACCATGCCGGCAAATCTTTTGTATTTTTAGTATAGACAGGGTTTCTCCATGTTGGTCAGGCTGGTCTTGAACTCCCAACCTCAGGTAATCCGCCTGCCTCAGCCTCCAAAAGTGCTGGGATTACAGGCGTGAGCCACCGCGCCCAGCCAATAGCATTTCTTATTAAGCCCTATTTTGCACCAGGCACTGTTCTAGCTGTTGGGGATGCTGGGTTGAAGAGACAAAGTCCTTGCCCTCAGTGAGCTTGCTTAGATTTACTCAACAAAGACAGGAAACAAACAGGTAAACAAATAAGTCTCAAAATGCAGTGGAAAAAAATGAAAAAGCCTAAGGTGACCCATTTGAGTCAACAGCTGAATGAGAAGGAATGGGAGCTCGTGAAGACCAGGAGGAATCTTTTGCGGAAATAAGAATGGTGAATGCCAAAGCTGTGAGATAGAAACCCATTTGGCATGCTCCTAGAAGCGAAAGACGATGGTGGCTGGAGAGGTAAGAGCAAGAGAAGAGTGAAAAGAGATGAAGGCAGGAGCCAGCAGGGCCAAGCGAAGAAGTCTGCTTATCGAGCTCAATGTGGCAGTAATCCACTGGAGCCTTTTCTTTTGGGTTTTTTGGTTTTTACTTTTTATTTTAAGGTACATTCCAAATTACAGAGAAGACGCAAGAATATACAAGGTTCCCTAATTGTTCCCATGTTCACCTACAAATCCACAGGATAGCCATCTAAACTAAGAAATTAATACTGATATAACCCTTTCATCTAAGATATCCCGTTCAATTTCTACAATTATCTTAATAATGTCCTGATAGGAAGTTTTTTTTCTCCTTTTTGTCCAGGATCCAATCTAGAATCATGGGTTGCATTTAATTGTCATATCTCTTTAATCTACTTCAGTCTGGAATAATTTCTCAGTCTTTCCCTGTCTTCTGCAACCCAGACTTTTTTTTTTTTTTTCAAGAAAGCAGGCTAATTATTTTGTAGAAGGCCCCTCAGTTTGGGTTTCTCTGTTTCCTTATGATTAGATTCAGATTATGCCTTTATAATAGGAATCTGACAGAAGTTATGCTGTATTCTTCTCAGTATGACATATGAGACAGTATGTGATGTTACTTTGTCTCATTTCTAGTGATGTTACTTTGACTAATATCAGATTTGTTGTTTCTCAGATTCTTCCACTATAAAGTTATTATTTTTACCTTTGTAATGCATTATTTTGTGGGGGAAAAGCTTTGACACTATGTAAATGTTCCATTCCTCAATAAACCTTCACCTACTTGTTTTAGCATCCATTGGTGTTCTGTGTCTGAATCCATCATTATCCTGACAGTTGCCAAGTGGTGATATTTATTACTAGCATTCTAATGCAATAAAGACTTTTCTCTTTTTCCCTATTCATCATTCATTCATTCATTTATATCTGTGTGGACTCATGGGCTTCTACTATATTATACTCAAGCGATCCTCCTGCCTTAGCCTCCCAAGTAGCTAGGACTACAGGTATATGCCACCACACCCAGCTAATTTATTTATTGTTTATTTTTTGTAGAGATGGGGCATCTTGCTCTGTTATCCATGCTAGTCTAAAACTCCTGGCCTCAGGTGATCCTCCTGCCTCAGCCTCCCATCTTCATCATTTTTTAAGCTCTTCCTTATTGTCTGGCCTATGAAAATGTTGCAGGCTCCTCTTGTGCATTTTCTGCCCAGTCCTGGAACCAGCCATTTCTCCCAGGAACCCAGTTCCTTTTAGCGACAAATGGTATTTAGGAACCAAGATCTGGGTGCTAAACGTAGTCATAGCTACAAGGTTTTTATTTCCATTACACCTTCTCATTGGACTGAAGTAGGAAATGCACAGATATAAACAACATATATATAAAACACATAATGCACAAACATATGTACATCTATCTCTATATCTACCTAGCTAGGTATATATTTTAAAGTACCATGACTTCACCCTAATATCTCCAGTTCCAATCAAAAAGCGCAAAATTTATTCTGGCCTTCTGCCTTCCCATATTTGCAGCTTATTTATGTACTTGCTCATAACTCCTCTCTGTAATCAATCTTCTAACCTTACCACTGCTTCCTCAACCTTGGAAGCTGGCTCCATCCCCTCCTCAGTCACAGCCACTTCCTCAGCTCTGACTGCCCTCTTGGTCCCAGCTCTTCAGGCCCTGCCAGGTATGGCTGTCTCAAAGGAAGAAGGCCAATGAATTTTTTTTTTTTAAGAAAAAAATAAGGGAACAGAAGGGAACAAAAGATGAAGAGAAAGAGACACTGGAGAATTTGTTTCCCCTCTTTATTTTGTAAAATTTCAAACATAAAGAAAATAGAGGCTGGGCCCAGTGGCTCACGTCTGTAATTCCAGCACTTTGGGATTTATAATATAATAAATAAATAATAGCAAAGAGATAGAATAGAAGGCTAGAGATCTGGTAGAGGAGAACTGGCCATTGAGGAAATCAGACAATTGAGATGCTCCCCGGAAGCTCAGAGAAGAAGGGTTTCAAAGAGGAAATAGGATCACTTTTAAAATGTACCTACTATTTGCCAGGATTTTAATATTAAAAACAAAAACAAACAAACAAAAAAACACCACCAGGCTGGGTGTGGTGGCTCATGCCTATAATCCCAGTGCTTTGGGAGGTCAAGACAGGAGGATCACTTGAGGCCAGGAGTTCAAGACCAACCTGGCCAACTTCACAAGACCCCATATCTACAAAAACAAACAAACAAACAAACAAACAAACCAAAACATAAGCCAGGCATGGTGGCTCATGCCTATAGTCCTAGCTACTTGGGAGGAGTTCAACGCTACAGTGAACTATGATTGCACCATTGCACTCTAGCTTGGGTGACATAGCAAGACCTGTCTCAGAAAACAAAACCAAACTAAACACTGAAAACTCTCAAGTGCTTCATATATTGGGCGAGAAATTCAAACAGGGTCACTTTCCTCAACAGAAAATACAGAGAATTAAAATGAAAGTAAGTAGGCATTAACGCTAAAGTGTATTAAATACTAGCATGGAAAAATACAGGATGTGCTGCAAGTATGTATTAGGGATATTCAATATAGACTGGGGAAGAATGAGGAAAGCTTCCAGGATGAAGTAAAATTTATAAGCTAAGACCTAATGGATAAGTAAAAGTCAAGTTCGAAGATGGAGATAATTTGTCCAAGCAGATATAAAAGCACATGCAAAGTCTTGGAGGTGTGATAGGGGAAGAAGCTGTTAAATAACTGAAGATGCTGGAAGTATTAAAGATGCTGAAGAAGGGTTGAGAATAAAGCTTGGGATATAGACAGGTGCTCAAGTCGCGAGAAAGTTTGGTCACTATCTACTGTGCAACGGAAGCTCTTGGGAGAGTTTAAAAGAAGCGATTCCATCAGTTTTGTGTCAGGAGGATCATTCCGACCATAGCAGGGAGAATGTATTGGAAAGAGAAAGAAAACTACTAAAGAGGTTTTAGCAGTAATCCAGGTGAGAAATAACTCCAGCAATTCCAATAGTTCCACACCACCAGAATATGCAATTCACTGGTCTTTTTCACTTGTATTCTCACTTTTCTACTTTTGGATCCCATAATACATCAGCAAAAGCATTCCCATGCTTATGCCTTCAACTTCCTCCCACTCTTTCCCTCTGTTGAACTCTCCTGGCCAAACTCAAGCTTAGTTATATACAACTGTCTACCTACTTGACAAGTGCAGAATGTGTCTGGAAAAAAATACATGACTACACTGACAGGTTTCACTTTACATTTTGGTGCAATCCTTGGCTATTTCCCTAGTCCATTTGCTTTCCAGCGGTCCTAGACAGATATTCCACATCTTTCTACTTAAACCTTCTTCCATGTGCTCACTCCTGCTAATGACCTTATTTTCCATTCTACTGAGAAAACAGAAATTCCTAAAAGATAGCTTCTGGACCTTGAGGATATTATGCTAAGTGAAATAAGCCAGTCGCAAAAAGACAAACATGTATGATTCCACTTAGATGAGCTATCTAAAGTAGGCAAAACTCATAGGAACAGAAAGCAGAATGGAAGTTGGGGGAGGAGGGAATGGGGAGTTGTTCAACGGGTACATAGTTTCAGTTTTGCAAGATCAAAAAGTTCAAGAGATCTGTTGCACAATAATGTGAATATATGTGACATTACTGAACCATTCAGAAACAGTTAAGATAGTAAATTTATGGTATTATTTTTTTACCACAATCTAAAAAGAAAAAAAAAAGCTTCCTGTTCCCAGCTAAGTCTGCTCTCAGCTAGGTGCTCGCAGTCTACCCGCAGTCTCCTGTCTTGCAGATGCCGACCCACACAGCTGTGTGGAATGGGGACCCAGGCCAACAAGGGCATCAACTTTGCCAAGGAAGGTGGTGCTCAGGAACCGGGATGTGGCGTGGGGCTGGGCAGCTGAGTAGCAACTGCAGGCCAGGGGCCTCAGCCTGCACTTGCACAGCTGGACACCCACCACAGCCAACCATCCTTGTCCTGCACGACTGCCTCCACCAGGACTGCCAGGGCTCCCCATGCTGGTCAGCAATGAGGGCATCATCTGCAATTTTGATCCCACACCCTTGTGTATTCATAAGCAGCGGTGTCAATGAAAACAAATCAGAGATGTCCGCACGGAGATACTGCCCCCAATAAAACCCCAAGGCAGAGAGGTGGATGTGTCCACTATGAAGAGTCTAAAAGCTCCTAAAGACTGCAGCCCAGAACTGCAGCAGCAGGTTCCAAGTAAGACTGTCATGGAGGAAAACAAGTTTGTGGAAGATACAGAGAATGGAACACACGGAAGGAGGGCTGGCCCAATACAGCACATGGAGGGAGGCAAATTGGCATCATTGTCCGGAGAGTACACCAGGAAGTGAGTCAAGGAAAGGTGACAAGATCCTCCTGAATGCACACTGCCCAGGGGGGTGAGAACAAACTTGAGGGGTGCCCAAGGCCACCAAAGAAGCAGAGACACCCAAGTATTTGGCCCATTTGCTCCCAGATATTGAGGGGGCCCTACAGACACTTTGGGAAGAAAAAGTAAATGTTGACTCACATCTCCATTCTTGAGCATGATTTTGTTCTCTTTCCTGATTCAACCAAAAAGGACATTTAATTCTTGTCCAAAACAGCCCTCACTTTGACTTGCCTGCTAAGTCTATGAAGTCTTTTGTGACTTTTTCCATGATAATCTATAGGGAAAAAATATGCAATTTCTGAAAATAATGAGTGAAAATCAACACATAAAGCGATTCTTTATAAGTATTAATTTCACATATTGTTTACAAGCTGAAACAGCTCCATCTCCAGTGTATAATATATCTTCTAAAAATTAAGCCAAGGGAAGGTACAGTATAACCCAGCGGTTGGCAAATTTTTTCTAGAAAGAGTCAGATAGTAGATATTTTCAGATTTGCAGGCCATACAATCTCAGTAAATGAGATAAAAGGTGCCAAGAGGGCTTAGGTAATTCTGAGTTAAATATGGTCATGAAAATATGCTCCTTTGTCAAGTATAAAAAATACCTAGCAATGCTCTAGAAAAGGAGATATGTGAATTAAATACTAGTGAAAAAGAAGACTATATGGCAAGTCAGTAAAGTGCCATGGGGAATCTGGCCATGAAGTGGTTTGCCCACATGTTGAAACCACTGGTCTAATCATTGCAGGGGTTATTTCTTGTTTTTTTTTTGAGACAGAATCTCGTTCTGTCACCAGGCAGGCTGGAGAGCAGTGGCACGATCTCGGCTCACTGCAACCTCCGCCTCCCAGGTTCAAGCAATTCTCCTGCCTCAGCCTCCTGAGTAGCTGGGACTACAGGCATGTGTCACCATGCCCAGCTAACTTTTTTTTGTATTTTTAGTAGAGACGAGGTTTCACCATGTTGGCCAGGATGGTCTCGATCTCTTGACCTCGTGATCCGCCCACCTCAACCTCCCAAAGTGCTGGGATTACAGGCATGAGCCACCGCACCCGGCCTGCAGGGGTTATTTCTAATCTTTGTGAGTGTGAGATTCCCATGTCATATTTTCCCTGATACCTTGCTTTTTAAAGTATCATATATTTTTAAAATGGAATTAAAATCAAAATAACTTTGAGGTTGTGTTATAAACCCCCTCCCCACCTGTCCTCACCTCCCACCCCCAACCCCAGCAATGACTCAGATTCCGTAATATTGAACTGAGCATGTGGATATTTTGCGGGTCTTTGATGTTTTCCATCCTGCATAGCAATTGAGGACAAGCTATGGGCAAAGCTGTGGCCTCTACTCAACTTCACAAGCCCAAAGAATCAAGTTTCTCTTTTTTAAGAAAATTATCCTGCCCACTAACCCAGTTGCCCTCATGCTGTGGTTCTAATCTAATCCAGCAATGTGGGTAGCTCTAATCCTAATTTTTTCAATGATCCTTGTACCACAGCAAGAAGGTACACATCCGGACTCGGGAGATTGCCATGGGAAAGGGCACTTTATTCACTTTTTTTTTCTAAAATCTTCAAGTGGATTTGTTTGCCAATCTTCCCTAACAAAACAAAAACAAGAACACTTAACTCAGAAAATTTGCTAACCAAAAATTTATCTGTATCAGTTCATTTTTGAGCAGGGCTATAGGTCATCTGGCCTAATTCCCCACCTCCTTCAAAAAAAGAACTCTAATCTCAAGTTTCTGCTTTCCCAACATTAGAACCCTCTCTCCTCAGAACCCAGGTTATCATAGAATCAGAGATTAATGCCCACATCAAAGCCCACTTTCCCATTTCATTTACTCATTGTTCTATGCATAAGCAATACGGATCTTGGGGAATGACAAAGAATCAAAATAGAAACAAAAATCAGCTGCAATCTGAGTTATCTCTTTACTGGAACAAATCAGCCCAGTCCCTGGTATTTGATACCCAGGTCTTAAGCTGATAAATATATTTTTCTCCTTCCCAATAAATAGAGAATTCTAGAAGAAGATGTTTGCTTTCACTGGGAAGGTATAGCAAGTTCCAAAAATCCTTTCTTAAGACCCTAAACTGATAAGACATTTTTAGGTAGTAAGAGGAACAATTAGCTTTTTTGTGGGGGGGAAGGTTCCACATTTGAATCCTAGCCTTGTGGCTTGTATGTGTGCTCTTGGTTCTTGACCCCTGTGCTCTTACACAGAGAGGCAATATAGCAAAGTGGTTAGAGGCACAGACCCTGGAGTCAGACTGCCCAGATTGGAGTCTCGACCCATTGGAAAGATCTGGCATTCACCATATAACCCAGTGATCAAACTGAGCACCAATGATGGTGGGACAACCAGCCAGTGTACACCTCTTACATAATGCAACATGAAGTACACAGCATCTTCTGTGACAGTCTCTTGCCAAAAATGTTTTACCTGAATCTAATTAAGCCTTTGCCTAATGTCCAGATTACAGAAAATACTGGACATTGCACAACACCATTAGAGGAAAAATATCACCCACAGCTATCTTGTTTTCTTGAAAAAGTCAAAGTCATGGGGAACAAAGTTCAGGAGCATAACCAATTGCAGTGTGTGAAATGTGACTGGGTGCTTGTATGAAGAACTTAGCCATACAAGACTAAGACAGTTGGGGAGAATTGAATATGAATTGATATTAGTCGATTTGAGGGAAATATTGTTAAATATCCTCTGTATGAATATATTATTTATGTAGGGATGAAGTATTATGATGTCTGCAACATTGACATGGTTCAGTAAAATATACACAGAGAGACAAACAGATAAATCAAATATAGGAAAATATTCACAATTGTTGAAGCTTAGTGATAGATGTACAGGTATCTGTTATACTATTCTTTCAACTTTTCTATATGTTTTAAAGCTTTCAAAATAAATATACCTACATCTGTATCCATATGTTCTACCTTCCCTGTGGTTCTTGTGATGGAAGTTTTAGCCTGATTTTCATAGCCCACATCTCCAGGGTGTGCTGGAACTCATCACGTTCACTTACCCAAGGACATCAGAACAGCAACGTCTCCTTCTCTCTCCCACATTAGAAACCTTTCCCTCTCTTGACCCCCATTTATGTTTCTATCTACCACTGCATTTCTCCACTACTCTACAGAAAAACTCAATTCAAATTATTTATTGAGTATCTACTATGTGCCAGGCACTGTTTTAGATGCTGGAGACATGGTAAGGAATAAAAGACAAAAGCACTTTTCTCATGGAGTTTATCTTTTAGTTGGTGAAGACAGACAAGAAACAGAATAAGGAACCAAATTCTATAGTATGTAAAAGGAGCCTACAAGGTAAGGAAAAAAGAAAGCAAAGTAAGAGGGATAAGGAGTACAGATGTAGAGGGGTCGAGGGTTGCTGACAACCTGTTTGGGAAATTTATACAGACAGAGCCTTATACCAAGCGACGTGGCTTGGCAAGCAGAGCCTGAGCTAGCCCTCATTTGATTCCCCTGGACCAGGCATTTTGCAGAATAAATATCTTGCACAACCATACAGAGTGACTCTGGAGATTTTGCAATTTAAATAGGATGGCTTTGTGAAGACTTTAGCTAGAATGGGGAGCTGTTGGTAGTTAGAGAAGAGAGATATGGTCTGCCTTATGGTTTAAAAGCATTACTTTGCCAAAAAACAAACAAACAAAATAAAAGCATTACTTTGGCTGCTATGTCATGGGTGGACTATGTAGGGGACAGAGGTGGAAGCAGGGAAACCAGATAGGAATATAATCCAAGTGACAGAGGATGATGTCACAGATGAGACATTGGTAGTGAAGGTTGGGCACAGTGATATAATTCTGGATATATTTCTGAATAGACTAAAAAGGCTTTGCTGATAGATTGGATATGGGGTGTACAAGAAATAGAGGAGTTAATGCTGACTCGAGAGTTTTGGGCCTGAGCAATTAGAAGGATGGAGTTTTGATTATCTGAGATGGAGGTTATGGGTAGCCCAGGGTCTGGGAGGAAAATCAGGAGGTCAATTTTCAATCTGTTAAATTTTAGTTGCCTATTAGCATTCAAGTGGAGATGGAGAGAAGTCTAGCATTCATGGGTCTCAAGGAGTTTCAGGTGGCATCAAAGAGTTGTCTATAGTCACTATGACCACTTCCTCTTCTTTCATTCTCCTGTGAAGCCATTCTAAACTTTCGTTCCCGCCTCTGAAACTATTGTGGTCACCAATAAATTCCCATCACAAAATCCAATGGCTGATTCTATTCTATCTCAAATGAAACTGTTCTAGCCAGGTGTAGTGGCTCATGCCTGTGATCCCAGCTCTTTGGGGAGGCCTAGGCAGGTGGATCACCTGAGGTCAGGAGTTCGAGACCAGCCTGATCAACATGGTGAAACCCCATCTCTACTAAGAATACAAAAGTTAGCCAGGTGTGGTGGCATGCACCTGTAATCCCAGCTACTTGGGAGGCTGAGGCATGAGAATCGCTTGAACCCGGGAGGCAGAAGTTGCAGTGAGCTGAGATCGTGCCACTGCACTCCAGCCTGGGTAACAAGAGCGAGACTCCGTCTCAAAAAAAAAAAAAAAAAAAAGAAAAGAAAGAAAACTGTTCTAGCTACAGAAAAATTGCTAAATAGCTAGTTTTTACAAAGCCACCCAATCAGATTCATTTGGCACAGGAGATCATTTCCTCCTTTTGTGAAAAAAATTTTAACTTGGCTTCTACAACCTCACCCTTTCCTGTTGTTCCCCATTGCTGACTGCCCACTACTGTTTAGTCTCCTGTGCTGATTATTTCTCATTTTCCCCATGCGTATGTTGAAGAAAAGTGTCCTAGGGCTCAATCCTCAATCCTCAGACATCACCCCTTTGTAGAAACTCATTTTCCAAGTGATCTTATTCAGTTCTAAGTTTATATGTCTAGTGCAAAGCTCTCCTCCAAATTCCAGATTCATGCCTACTGGACATCTCCACATAGATGTCTAATATTACATTCAAACTTACAGGTCCAAAAAAATACACTATTTCCCCACCCCCTTGCTTTCCTGTAGTCTTTCACATCTCAGACACAGCAACTCCATTCTCATAACTCAAGTTAAAACCTTAGAGTCATCCTTGACTTTCGTTTTTCCCCCATACCCAAATTCACTACATCAGAAACTCTTTTCAGATCTACCTCAAAAACACATAATCCACATCTACCATTACCACCCAGTTCACTGCAATCATCCCTTCACTATATATATATATATATATATACTATATACATATACTATATATAAAATATGCATATACTATATATACTCTATATACTATATATAGTATATACATACTCTATACATATACTATATATACTCTATATATACTCTATATACTATATAGAGTATATATATACTATATATAGTGTATATATAGTATATATATACTCTATACTCTATATACTATATATACACTATATATACTATGTATACTATATATATTATATATAGTGTATATATAGTGTATATATAGTATATATAGTACATATACACTATATATGTGTACTATATATATACACACATATATATATACACACACACACACACACACACACACACACACATATATATATTCTGGATATATTTCTGAATAGACTCCATATATATATATATGTTCTGAAAAGACCATAAATGTATTCACTATACATATATATACATATATATATTCTGGATATATTTCTGAATAGACTATACATATTCTGGATATATTTCTGAATAAACTATATATATATGTCTTTTTTTTTTTTTGAGACAGAGTCTTGCTGTGTTGCTCAGGCTGGAGTACAACAGCACGATCTCAGCTCACTGCAATCTCTGCCTCCCAGGTTCAAGCCATTCTCCCGTCTCAGCCTCCCGAGTAGCTGGGATTACAGGCATGCACCATCACACCCGGCTAATTTTTGTATTTTTAGCAGAGATGGGGTTTCGCCAGGTTGGCCAGGCTGGTCTCGAACTCCTGACCTCAGGTGATCTGCCCACCTTGGCCTCCCAAAGTGTTGGGATTACAGGCGTGAGCCACTGCGCCCAGCCAATCGCTTCACTATATTATACAACTAGTTTCCCAACTGGTCTCTCTGTGACTACATTTGCTATTCTACAGTCCATTTTTCATAAAGCAGTCAGAAAGATCCTTTTAAAATATGTTAAATAATGCCACCCATCTATTTCAAATATGATTTCCATGTGATTTAGAGTAAAATCACCAGTCCTTCTGTTGCCCCACATGGCCCAAAGTGATTAGTAGCACTCCCTCTTTCTCACCAACCTTGACCCCATCTCCTACCACTCTCCTCCTCCACCAGTAGGCACTATGGTTTGAATGTGTCCTCCAAAGTCATATGTTGAAATCTTGGTCCACAGTGCAGTAGTGTCAGGACCTTAATGAGAGGTGTCTGAGTCATGGGCACCACCCTCATTAATGGATTAACGCCATTATCTTGAGGATGAGTTTATTATTATTGTTATTATTTTATTTTTCAGATGGAGTCTCACTCTGTCACCCAGGCTGGAGTGCAGTGGCGCGATCTCAGCTCACTGCGACCTCCGCCCTCCAAGTTCAAGCGATTCTCCTGCCTCAGCCTCGCAAGTAGCTGGGATTACAGGCGCCTGCCACCTCGCCCAGCTAATCTTTTGTATTTTTAGTAGAGATGGGGTTTCATTATCTTGGCTAGGCTGTTCTTGAACTCCTGACCTTGTGATCCACCCAACTGAGCCTCCCAGGCGGCATGAGCCAGCGCGCCTGGCCGAGAGTGAGTTTATTTTAAAAGGATGAGTTCAATACCGTCTCATGCTTTACCTTATTTTGACCTTCACCTTCCACCATGGGATGGCAGCAAGAAAGCCCTCTCCAGATGTGAGTCCCTTGATCTTGGACTTTGCAACCTCCAGAAATATTAGTTAATACATTTTTTTACCATAAATTATCCAGTCTGTGGTATTCTGTTATAGCAGCACAAAGTGAACTAAGACATTATACCACAGTCACCATGGCCTTTCTGCTCTTCTTGAAGACACTAAGCATGAGTGTCCTCAAGGCTCTGGCCTTTGTATTTCTCTCTTCTTAAAACCCTATTCCCGCGGGTACTTACATGTCTTGTTCTGTTACTTCTTTCAGATCTCTGCTAAAATGTCAGCTTATCAGAGGCTTTCCCTGACCACCCCACACAAGGTCCTTCCTCAGTCATCATTCTCTATCATTCTGGCCCTGCTTCATTTTTCTCACTAGTACCTGTCATCTCCTGACATATACTTATTTACTTGTCTCTATTCACTAGAATGGAAGGTCATGAGGGCAGCAAAGTGGTCTGTTTTCATTTTAACTACTGAATCCCCAACATCCATGAAAGTGGCCAGCATATAGTTCTCAGTAAATATTTGAGGGTTTTTTGTTGTTTGTTTTTTGGAGGCAGAGTCTCACTCTGTCACCCAGGCTGGAGTCCAGTGGCGTGATCCTGGCTCACTGCAACCTCCACCTCCCTGGTTTAAGTGATTCTCCTGCCTCAGCCTCCTGAGTAGCTGGGATTACAGGCGCACGCTACCACACCCAGCTAATTTTTGTATTTTTAGAAGAGATAGGTTCCACCATGTTGTCCAGGCTGGTCTTGAACTCCTAAGCTCAGGCAAGCCACCCACCTCGGCCTCCCAAAGTGCTGGGATTATTGCCTGGCCAATATTTGTTGAATGAATAAACAATTGAATGAAGAATGATGGCAGTATGAGTCAGAACACAGATAGTGGAAATGTGTGGCAGCCAGCCTCCGAGATGCTCCCAGTGGTCCCCGCCTCTAGTATTCATGCTCTTGCATCAGCCCCTCCTACAGTTTATACAGCAGACTGACACATGTAACCAATAGCAGAAAAGACAATTTGTGACTTACAAGGCAAGGTCATAAAGGACATTCTGGCTTCCATCTCATCTACTCCGCTGCATTGCACCATGCCATGAGGACACTTAAGCAGCCTGTGGAGAGGCCTTCGCAGGAAGAAACAGAGGCGCCTGCTAAGAAGCACCATGAGAGTGAACTCTCTGACAAGCAAGTCTTAAAAACCAGTCATCCCTGAATCCAGTAGCACATTAAAGTTAATTTACCATCATCAAGTTGGCTTTACTCCTGGGATGCAAGGTTGATTCAACAAACACAAATCAATAAATGCGATTCACCACACAAACAGAATTAAAAACAAAAACCACATGATCATCTCAATACATGCAGAAAAGGCTTTCAATAAAATTCAGTATCGCTTCATATTAAAAACCCTCAACAAATTACATATCAAAAGAACATATCTCAAAATAATAAGAGCTATATATGACAAACTCACAGCCAACATCATACCGAACAGGCAAAAAGCTGGATGCATTCTGTTGAGAATTGGAACAAGACAAAGATGCCCACTCTTACTGCTTCTATTCAACATAGTACTGAAAGTCCTAGCTAGAGCAATCAGGCAAGAGAAAGAAATAAAAGGCATCTAAAGAGGAAGAGAGAGAATGAAACTATTTCTCTTTGCAGATGATTGATTCTATACCTAGGAAACCCCATAGACTCTGCCAGAAGGATCCTAGAACTGATGATACATAACTTTAGAAAAGTTTGAGGATATAAAATCAATGTACAAAAATCAGCAGCATTTCTATACACTAATAACAGCCAACCTGAGAGCCGAATCAAGAACACAATCCTGGCTGGGCACATGACTCAAGCCTGTAATCCCAGCACTTTGGGAGGCTGAGGCAGGAGGATCTCTTGAGCCCTGGAGTTCAAGACCAGCCTGGGCAACACAGGCAGACCCTCTTTATAAAAATTAAAACAAATATTACCAAAGCATGGTGACATGTGGCTGTAGTCCCAGCTACTCAGGAGGCTGAGACAGGAGGAAAGCTTGAGCCTGGGAGGTCAAGGCTACAGTGAGCTGTGATTTTGCCACTGCACTCCAGCCTAGGTGACAGAGTGAGACCCCATCTCAAAAAAAAAAAAAAAAAAAAGAAAAGAAAGAAAAAAGAAAAAGAACAAAAAAGAGAGAAAGGAATCCCGTTTACAGTAACTACTAAAAGAAAAGGATACAATACCAAAGAACAGAGCTTACCAAGGAGGTGAAAGATCTCTGCAATGAGAATTACAAAACACTGCAGCAAGAAATCAGAGATGACACAAACTAAGGGAAAAGCATTCCATGCTAATGGATAGAAATAATCAATATTGTTAAAATGGCCATACTGCCCAAAGCAATTTATAGACTAAATCCTATTCCTGTCAATCTATCAGCTATTTTTCACAGAATTAGAAAAAAGTATTCTAAAATTCATATGAAACCAAAAAGAGCCCAAATCACCAAAGCAATCCGAAGCAAAAATAACAAAGCTGGGCTGGGTGTGGTGGCTCACACCTGTAATCCCAGTACTTTGGGAGGCTGAGGCAGGTGGATCACTTGAGGCCAGGAGTTCGAGACCAGACTGGCCAACATGGTGAAATACTATCTCTACTAAAAATATAAAAATTAGCTGGGTGTTGTGGTGTGCACCTGTAGTCCCAGCTACTTGGAAGGCTGAGGCAGGAGAATGGCTTGAACCCAGGAGGTGGAGGTTGCAGTGAGCCGAGATCAGGCCACTGCATTCCAGCCTGGGCAACAGAGCGAGACTCCGTCTCAGATAAATAAAATAAAATAAAATAACATAAAATAAAATAACTAAAATAAAATAAAATAAATAAAATAACAAAGCTAGAACAAAGAACAAATAACATCACAGTGCCTGACTTCAAACCAAAGGCTATAGTAACCAAAAGAGCATGATGTGTACAAAAACAGACATATAGACCAATGGAATAGGATACAGAACCCCAAAATGAAGCCACATATCTACAATCACCTGATCTTTAAAAAGTCAATAATAACAAACAATGAGGAAAGGACTCCCTATTCAATAAATGGTGCTGGGATAACTGGCTAGTCATATGCGGAAAGTTGAAACTGGACCATTTCTTTTCGCCACATAAAAAAGTTAACTCAAGACAGATTCAAGACTTAAATGTAAGACCTAGAACAATAAAAACCCTGGAAGAAAACCTAGAAAGTACCATACTGGACATTGGTCTTGACAAAGTATTTATGACTAAGTCCCAGAAAACAATGGCAACAAAAACAAAAATTGACAAGTGGGACCTACTAAAGAGCTTTGGCATGGCAAAAGAAACTATCGACAGAGTATATAGACAATTTACAGAATGGGAGAAATTATTTACAAACTATGCATCAGACAAAGGTCTAATATCTAGAATCTGTAAGGAACTTAATTCAACAGACAAAAAAGAAACAATCCCATTAAAACATGCAAAAGGAAATCAACGGACACTTCTCAAAAGAAGATATACACGTGGCCAACAAATATATGAAAAAAATGCTTATCATCACTAATCATTAGAGAAATGCAAATCAAAACTGCAATGAGATACCATCTCACACCAGTCAGAATGGACATTACTGAAAAGTCAAAAACAACAGATGCTGTTGAGGTTGTAGAGAAAAGGTAATGCTTATACACCGCTGGTGGGAATGTAAATTAGTTCAGCCACTATGGAAAGCAGTTTGGAGATTTTTCAAAGAACTCAAAACTACCATTCAACCCAGCAATCCCACTACTGGTTAAACACCCAAAGAAAAATAAATCGTCCTACTAAAAAGATGAACATGCACTGGTATGTTCACTGCAGCACTATTCACAACAGCAAAGACATGGAATCAACCAAGACACTCATCAATGATGGACTAGATAAAGAAAATGTGGTATATATATATACCATGAAATACCATGCAGCCATAGAAAAGAACCAAATCATGTCCTTTACAGCAACATGGATGCAGCTGGAGGCCATTATCCTAAGCAGATTAATGCAGGGACAGAAAAACCAAATACTGCACATTACCACTTGTAAGTAGGAACTAAACATTTAATACACATGGATACAAAGATGGAGACAATAGACACTGGAGACTGCTTAAGCGGGGAGAGTGGGAGTGGGGTGGGTTGGAAAGCTATTTATTGGGTACTACGCTCAATACCTGGGTGACAGGATCATTCATACACCAAACCTCAGCAACATACAATTTACCCATAACAAAACTGCACATGTACCCCCAGAACCTAAAATAAAAGTAGAAGAAGAAAAGAAAAGAATTTCAGGATGGCAACCACAGAATCTTTTTTAAAAAATTATTTTAAGTTCTGGGATACATGTGCAGGATGAGCAGGTTTGTTACATAGGTAAACGTGTGCCGTGGTAGTTTGCTGAACCTACCAACTCATCACCTAGGTATTAAGCCCCACATGCATTAGCTATTTATCCTGATGCCCTCCCTCCCCCCACCCCACCCCCCGACAGTGTGTGTTGTTCCCCTCCCTGTATCCATGTGTTCTCTTTGTTCAGCTCCCGCTTATGAGTGAGAACATGTGGTGTTTGGTTTTCTGTTCCTGTGTTAGTTTGCTGAGGATAATGGCTTCCAGCTTCATCCATGTCCCTGCAAAGGACATGATCTCATTCCTTTTTGTGGCTGCATAGTATGGTGTATATGTACCACATTTTCTTTATCTAGTCTATCATTGATGGGCATTAACCACAGAACATTTAAATCCCAAGTGTTAGGCCCATAAGAGTGTAGGGCTCTGTGTGAATACACTGTTTGAATGCCCATCAAGCTGACCCTGCCTGGATTAGATAGTAAAGTTATAGGACTGAATGAGTTCTATAGGGAAAGATGAGAAGAAAAGAGACCCAAGACCTGAAGCTAGAAAAGCAACAACTTTTACAGGATGGGCAGAGAAAGAATATCCTGGTGGCCAAAAGTTGTATTTAATCAGATGAATGAATGAGAAAATAATTGTTCTGCGATCCCTGACTTGAAAAAGCTTTGCAAATACAAATAACCTGGCTGTATATTAATATTTTATTTCACAAATTATTATTGTATGGATGATAATTCTTCAGGGTTAAATGTGTGGTTCTTACATAGGCCTATTATCCTATTTCTGAGGCATATATTGATTGCTCAACTGAAAAAAAATGCAGAAGAGAAGTGGTAGGAAATAAAATGGATTAGAGGAAAGAATGGAATTTACTAATAATAGAGTTCCCTTCTAGCAACAGTTACCTTTACATATAAGGCCAACAATGTTTCGCTGCAACATTTATCAAAGAAGAAAAATGTAAACTCTTAAAAATCTGTGAAGAATTCTAAATGACTAATTAAAACTTGTTGCAAAGTCAACTTCGATAATTTTTTAACTACAAAGTAACTTTGACCGAAGTCTTAGTCCATAAAAATGAGAACAAGGCCGGGCGCGGTGGCTCACGCCTGTAATCCCAGCACTTTGGGAGGCAGAGGCGGGCGGATCACGAGGTCGGGAGATCTAGACCATCCTGGCTAACACGGTGAAACCCCGTCCCTACTAAAAATACAAAAAATTAGCTGGGCGTGGTGGTGGGCGCCTGTAGTCCCAGCTACTCCGGAGGCTGAGGCAGGAGAATGGCGTGACCCTGGGAGGTGGAGCTTGCAGTGAGCCGAGATCTAGCCACTGCACTACAGCCTGGGTGACAGAGCGCGACTCTGTCTTAAAAAAAAAAAGAGAGAACATTTGGTTAAAGAACTATGGCAGGGAGTTGATGAGACTTTGAATTTTGAATTGGTGGGGGAAAAAGTGATCTGAAAAAAAAATGGATTGGGACATGTCTCTGGAGGTGGTTTATGAAGAGGCTATGAGCACTGATTCTGAAACAAGCTGTTGAGGTTTCAATCCTGGCTCCACTATTTATTCCCTGTGTGATTTTGGACAAGTTGCTCAAGTTGCCTCACACCTGAAGAAAAATGATAACACTTTCTAGGGTTGTTATGAGGGTTGAATGACTGGATGCTTATAAAACATGTAAAACTTTTCCTAGCACATAAAAAGTACTACACAAAAATTTGTTAAAAGAAAATTGTAAAAATTGATCATGTAACCAAAACACTTTTGAAGTTTCTACTTTTAGTGAGTTTCACAAGCTCAGGGGAGAGTGTTCAGTGAAAGGAAACAATCTCTTCTCATCTTTCTTCTCCCATCATTTTTTTCTCCTATCTTCAGAGTACTGTATTGTTGTCTCTTTATACTAAAAACAATTCTGTTTATTCAAAAAAAGTACCTCAAGAAGCAAGTATAGTGTTTCCCAGGTATTTTCTTAAAAGTAATTTCATCATGTCTTTTCATGTATATATTCATGTCTATTTTCCCACTTAAGATTGGTCCCAATGTTTTCTTTCTTTCAGAGAGAACATTAAAAATGTTAGGAAACTGAGGTGCAAGGATTGCTGGAGGCCAGGAGTTCGAAACCAGCCTGGGCAACATAGTGAGACACCCATCTCTACAAAAAAATTTAAGAATAAGCCCCACATGGTGGTGTGCTCCGCTTGTAGTTCTAGTTACTGAACTCCCACCTCGGCAACAGAGCGAGACCGTCTTAAAAAAAGTATGTGGAAGAAAAAACATGCACAGTAGATTTAGTGTTATTGTGATAACCCTAGCACTTCAGTGGAAAAAATATAAACAATTTCAATGAGTAGACAATAACACATATAACCAAGATTTCAAATATACCTTCTAGCCCTTTTGAGAAGTCAAAATTGAACAACCTGAATGTACCAGCTTTTTTGAAAAAAGTTTTGTAGACACGCGATCCCCAAAACCTGCCGTTCAAACAACTCCAAGGGTCTTTAAAGTACTAAATCCCTTTGTATTTGTCCTATCGGTCCCTTTGGTTTCCAGGAAAGCATTAAAAATAAAAATAAAAACTCTCTGCCTTAATTTTATTTCACGACTTTCTTTTCTCTTATTATAGCTTTCCACATTGCTTTAGAAGAGTTTACATCTAACTCTAGTGGTCTTCGGCTTCTTCTCCCTCTTTGACACAGAGGACTAGTTTCAATTGTACAAATAGGCTGGACGCTTCAGCGATTATCTTCCGACCACTCCCTGTGTGCTCGCGCGGGCGGAGTAGGGGGCGCTTCTCCACTCTCCGCGACCTCAATGTATGCGGAAATCCTCCTGCCTTTGTGCACACGTTTATTTAGAAAATTCTCTCCACCCCCACTCCCGTCCGTCCCGCCCCTTCTTCTTTTGCTTATTCTCTGAGTTTTGCCTCTCCTCCCACCCCGACTCCACCGTAATCTTAACCTACCCGTACAGATTCCACTTTCCCACTTCGGAGCTAGAGTAATTTAAGATCCCCCCATTATTAGCTCCACGTCGCCTTTAAAAGCCATTCAAACGAGTTCGCCTTCCAGGGTTCTGCAGTTGTGCTGCAGCAGCATTTCCCTCCTCTCCAGTATCAGACGTTAAAACAAAGCAAGCCACAGTGTGTGTCCACAGACGACCTTGGAACGAAAAGCTGCCCTGTTTGGGATCAATGCTCAGGGAACCCAGTCCACTCCCGCACTCACGTGTTCCCGCCTTGCCCTCCAGCTAGTTCCCCCGCGCGCAGGATCGCACTACTCCCTCTGCAGTCTCGCCTGCCGACTTCCTTCTGCGCGCCTCGTAAAACCGGGGAAGTTCAATCATTCCGCAGCGAGCCGCGGCGGCCGCACTGGGCATGCTCAGTCTCCGGGCTCCGCTCGGCAGGCGAGAGGCGTCCTCCGGCTCTGGGCTCCGGTCGGTGGGTGCCTCGGCTCGGCTTTCCCCGGCGCTGGCTGGGCTCAGCGGCCCCTGAGCCCAAGCGACACACGCCCCGCGGTCCCCGATCCGGCCCCTGGGAGAGCCGCGCCGTTCTGGAACCCGGGAGCCCCCAACTTCGCGCCAAGTTCGGAGCCGCCTTCTGAGGGAGACATGAAAAAGATGAGCAGGAATGTTTTGCTACAAATGGAGGAGGAGGAGGACGACGACGATGGGGATATCGGTGAGCGAGGGGTCCCCGCGTCCCCACCCGAGAGCCCGAGCCGACGCGGGAAGAAGTTCGGGGACTGCGCGGGGGCGCTGTGCTCTCCGCGGGGGAGGTTGGCCGAGACGCTCGGCCGCTCCGGGCAGGGGAGGAAGCCCGCTGTCCCCGGCTGCTTGCAGACTGAGGCCCCGGTGCGGCCCCTGCGGGGCTGAGGCGCGGGGCGCGTGGTGGCCCCGAGGACAGGCTCCTGACGGGCGGGGGATGCTGCCCCTGAAAAGCCTGGCAGCTGCGGGGACGCCTCTGCGTGCGGAAGTCTCCACTCAGAAGCAACTTTGGGGTCACTTCCCCGACTCGCAGAGTGCTAGGGTTGCCCAGGAGCCTCGGCACTGGGGCGAGCCCCCTGGGCGGGGTCCGGGGAGCAGGCCCGCATTTGGAGGACAGGGTGTGACCCATCTGAATCCTCGTTAAAGTAAAAGCCGACCGACGGCTCTGGGAGGTTTGAGGCCTGGCGGGGCGGCCCCGGGAAGTGATTTGTGGCCGCTAGGCGCGCGCTGGAAACCCTTTCCCATCTGCGGAGCCCACCGGAGCTGTGATCGGAGGAGGAATTCCCCCAGGCAGGGAGGACCGCAGGGCCTTTTTCACTCGTCCTGAGGGGCCCTGGGGCTTGGGGAGCAAACCTGGGGTGACCCATTTCTAGTTAGAGTTAAAAATGCATGGAAGTGACAAGACGAACGGAGGGAGAGCTGTTTTAAGAGCAAAAAAAGAAAAAAAGGGCAAACAAAAGGGATGAGAGGAGGTGAGGAAGGGGAAAGGAATGAGAGGACTAGAGAGAAAATCAGGTCCCTAAAGAGAACACTGTCGGGGGATGATGATATAATGTGTCCCTCCAGAAGACTCTAATTAAATTACCAAGCCAGTCTGTTGTGGCGACTCGGCTTAGTCTCCTGGATGCCAAATCAATTTTAAAGCAGAACATCCTGCTGATGTTCTAAAGCCCTGTTGTTATCTAATAACTTTAAAAGTAACTTAATTTTAGGAGTTGGGTGTGGTTTTTATTTCTGTTACATTTTGGGCACGGAATATTTCGATCAAAAAAATTTGGTAACTTCTTGGTTGTCCAGGGACAAATCGAATAGAGGAGATTACACTCCATGATTTAGTTTCACATTTCATTCATTCATTTAAGAACAATTTACTAGTTATTCATCTTTAAGGAGAGAGCAAATAGTAGTAGTTTTTATAGGAGAGAAAACTGAAGCGCACAGGTTGGTCTGCCCAGCTTCTCACACTTTCAAACCCAGGTTTTCTGACTTGTAAAACCAGTGAAGATTAATGCTCTTACCACTGGGTCACTCTGGCTGTTACTACTGTTTAGCAAGATTAAGTAGTACCTGATGATTACATAAAAATATAGGAGTGAAATTTAAAAAGTTACAATAAAATTGACACAGTCTGTTTCCCAGGAAAGTATTATTGTCTTTTATGGTGAGCTGCACTGTTTATAATGAGTATTGTAAGTAAATAAGGGCAGAAGCTCAAATGGAAACTGAAGTAAGCAAGAGGCTCTGAGCTTTGTTTTACTGTGCCAGCAGTAGATCTCAGTTTAGAAAGTAATTTGGTCTAGTCTGTGTTTACCTATTGAGGCATCGTATAAATTCATCTTAAGCGTGTGGCAGTAAGCTCTTTTTATTTTTAATGACATGTCATTCATGCTAGTTTTGTCCAGTCAAACAGTGTAGATAGACTTAAGAAAAAGTTAAATATCTCTACTCCTCCCCACCCTCTAGAAACTACTAATACTAATACTTTAGTGTTAATATTAGTAGGGCATTTCCCACTATTCCTGTGGGGCCCTGGGGTCTCTACTGTAGGGGTCATCTCAACATATTTTACGTCAAGCAGCAGGTACCATTTAAACAGGTCTTGGCAATATTTTTTTCTTCTCAGTGAATGAAAAGATATGCTGATGTTCTAACACCCAGTATCTATGAATGTGATTTCTGTTTCTTTCTTTCTCTTTTTTTTTTTTTTTTTTTTTTGAGATAGGGTCTCGCTCTGTCGTTTAGGCTAGAGTGCAGTGATGTGGTCATGGCTTATTACAGCCTCGACCTACGGGGCTCAAGCGATCCTCCCACTTAAGCCTCCCAAGTAGCTGGGACTTTAGGCACCACCATATCCACCTAGTTGGTTGTTTTTTTGGAAGTACAAATTTAATGTGGGTTGTAGTGATTTTATATCAGAAAATACTTAACTATGCCAATGTTAAGTTTATGCCTTTACAAAAGAATAAGCCTTTTTAAAGATTACCAGGAGTAGGCTGATAGTGGTCCAAAGCCTTTTACAAAATAATTATTATTTCCAACTGTGGGAGAGGAGACTGGTGAAATGAAGATAATTTTAACCTCTGCCTTTAATTTTGCAATGCACGTCTGTATTTACGCTATTAACTAATATTTCTCCTAGTACTTGATTGTCACTGTCAGTAGTTGTATAATAGTTTGAAACCCACTTGGGTACGGAAGATTTCTGTGAAATCCCTCTATTAATATTACCTTTATAATTCAGACTGGGAGAATTATTTTTAGAGACAGGGTCTTGCTCTGTCACCTAGGCTAGAGTGTAGTGGCAAGATCATAGTTCGCTGCAGTCTTGAACTCCTGGCCTCTAGCCATTCTGCTGCCTTTGCTTCCCAAAGCTCTGGGATTACAGGCATGAGCCACTGTACCCAGCCTTAGAATTATTTTGACACGAGTTCCTGGGTATACCATTGGGCGTTATAATGGCCTAATTTGCAAGAGACCTCCCCCTCCCCCCAAAAAAAAACTTTCTAACTGGATGGGGTCCCTGATTATATCATAGAGATGCTTTATGTATGTATATGGAAATGTGCCCTCTAGTAGCTGGAATTTAGAGCCTTTTAAACAGTGGGTTCCTGCTTACTTTTGAAACACTGTATTTTTATTGTACTTTTATTTATTCATTTAGAGACAGGGTCTCCCTCTGTCAGGCTGGAGTGCAGTGACGCAGTCACAGCTCACTGCAGCCTTGACTTCCCAGGCTCAAGCAATTCTCCAACCTTAGCCTCTTGAGTAGCTGGGACCACAGGCCTTGTGACACCATGCCTGGCCAATTTTTTTTTTTTTTTTTTTTTTGGTAGAGACAAGGTCTCACTGTTGCCCAGACTGGTTTCAAACTCCTGAGCTTAAGTGATTATCCTACCTCGGCTTCCCAAAGTGCTGGGATTACAGGTGTGAGCCACCATGCCTGGCTGTTCAGTACTTTATGTCAGTGTTGCCTCCTAGTTTAGAATGAACTGATCTGGAGAATCAAGGATAGTACATCTCACTATGGATGTCTTTTCCTTGTTTGTTTAAGTTACAGCCAGCAGAAATTATTTCCAAAGGCGTGCTTGTGTGGCAACCTGTTGGCATTAGAGCATTTTTGCAATAGGCCACTTATTTCTAAAGCAGAGCCAACAACCAACCACTGAAGCCACATCCAGGCAGTAGTAGTGGGAAATGTGTGGTTTGAAGCCCCTGTTGTGCTGGTGGAGATCACATATTGTTGCAAGCCCCTGGGAGTTAGGTTGTGTGCTACCCTGCCAAGTGTGCAAAAGAGTGTCCTTGGCTGCTTTTCGCCCCCTCATCAGCGGATTAAATTCAGCATCTCTTCTTGTTCATGTAGAATGCTATAGGAACAGCTTTTGTAGCCAGAATGCAGAAATCAGATTAGTATGCTGCTTTATTTTGTTTCTTCAATTCTGTTCTCTGTGGTCAAGCTTTGCTGAAGGAGGAAAAGTGGTTCCAAAAAAGACTATCAGGAACTATTCAGACTGTTCAGATAATGAGGTTTTGTTTGTGGATGGTTGGTTGGTTGCTTTGAGTTCCTAGTCTGTTTATGGTAGTTTACTGTCTGATCCCCATCACTAATGGTCATGTATGTCATTGAGGGGTAGACAGAGGACATGGTCCATTACCTTTGAGAGATAATGATCCAGCTATTGGCTCCCTTTTCAACTGTCACATTTTTACATAGACTTATCTTCCCACACCCACCTCTCTTTCCTTATTACCTACTTCAGGTTTAATCACCTATAAATCTGATACTAGCCCCAGTCTTCCTTCATAAACATTGATTGAGCAATCCTTCTGTGCTAGTTTCAGGATTAGGTGCTGGGTCAGGTGTTGGGAGACTGAAAATGAGTAAGACATACCTGTGTCTTCCAGGAGAAAAGTTCCTTAGAACCAGACTGTGATATTGTGAAATATATAAGGCATTCTTCCAGTTTCTTGGCATGCAACTCCTAAAACTTTTGGAATTTTCAAAGTGGTAAGTGTCTTTTTGTATGCTAATAAGTTGACAGATGGCTGGCAGCCCCTAGGTAGCTTCCTGATGGGGGCTGGTCACTGGAAAGACCAAGGCAGGATTAAAGGTTTGGACTTCCAGCCCCATCTACCAACCTGAAGAGGGGTAAGAGCCAGGCTGAAGGTTAAGCTGATCACCAGTGGCTAATGATTTAATCAATCATGCCTATGTAATAAAGCCTCCATAAGAACCCAAAAATTCTGTGCGCTGCCCTGGCAAATTAATGGAACCCAAAGAGGGTGTTGCAAGAACCTCAATTTGTAGCCGGTGGGTCAGAAACCCAGGCAAAACAACCTGGGGCCTGTGATTGGTGTCGGAAGTGGGGGGGGGCAGCCTTGTAGGACTGAGCCCTCAATCTGAGCTCTGAGGCTTACTGCAGGTGGATAGTATCCGAATTGAGTTGATTTAGAGGACGCCCAGCTGGCGTTCATTGCTGAACAACTACTTGCTTGTCATGTGGGAAGAACTCTTCCCACATCTGGTGATAAACGTATTCTGTGTTGATTGTATTGAGAGTACAGAAGGAGAACCTGAGTTTGGTTTTCTCTGCATCATCAGACAGAGATTTGCAATAAAAGGTACATATAAAACTGAAGGGAGAGACTGGGAGAGAGCTTCACAGAAGAGATTTTTGGGTCAGATGCTGAAAGACTAGGAAAATGTAGTGCAGAGATGGCCGGAGGAGAGTCTGGAGTTCCAAATAGTTGCCTGCTAGGGAAGGCAGGGAGAGGCTATGCCGTGAAGGATCCTCCATACACTTTAAGGATTTTGGGTTTTACTCTGTATGTGATTTGGAGCTCCTGAAGGATGTTAATGAAAAGAGTGATAGGATTGGATTTGCTTTTGGAAAGATCTCCATGGTAGCACGTTCTAAAATGGGTTGGGAAAGGAGACAGTAGAGCTAAGCCTTTCCAGTAGTTGGGGTCAGAAATGCCTGCAGTGGTCATGGAATAGAGAAGAATGGGTCTGACAGCTTTATGAAAGAGGCGCCATCTGTGGGTTCTCAGCTGCTGATTGTTTCCGGCAAGCAGAGAGGAGCCCAGGATGATGGTGGCAGGAGGAGAGAATTTTCTGTTCCAACTAGTCTTTTAATTTTCCCCTCTGACCATTGGCTCAGACCATTCTCCCTCCCCGACTCCTTTTTTTTTTTTTTTTTTTTGGGAGACGTTGTCTTGCTCTGTTGCCCAGGCTGGAGTGCAGTGGCGTGATCTCAGCTCACGGCAAGCTCCGCCTCTTGGATTCACTCCATTCTCCCACCTCAGCCTCCCAAGTAGCTGGGACTACAGGCCCCCGCCACCACACCCAGCTATTTTTTTTGTATTTTTAATAGAGGCGGGGTTTCACCGTGTTAATCAGGATGGTCTCATCTCCTGACCTCGTGATCCGCCTGTCTCAGCCTCCCAAAGTGCTGGAATTACAGGCATGAGCCACCACGCCCGGCCCCCCCACTCCAGCTCTGTTGCCCAGGCTGGAGTGCAATGGCTCAATATCAGCTCACTGCAACCTCCGCCTCCCGGGTTCAAGTTATTCTCCTGCCTCAGCCTCCTAAGTAGCTGGGATTACAGGTGCCCACCACTGTGCCCGGCTAATTTTTGTATTTTTAATAGAAATGGGGTTTCGCCATGTTGGCTAGGCTGGTTTCGAACTCCTGATCTCAGGTGATCCGCCTGCCTCGGCCTCCCAAAGTGCTGAGCAGGCGTGAGCCACCATGCCTGGCCAGACCATTCCCCTTCATAGTAATTTCAGCCTCACCTCCTCTTTTTCTCAGTGGTTCCCTGTGATATTATGACACATATGTTTTTGTCCATGGTTCCTGGCTTATAACTACCATAACTCTTGCTATAATGTTGGGGTGCTTTAGGCCTCAGAAGCAGAAGCAGGCCTCAGAAAACAATCTCCATCTTTGACCTGCCCTATTTTTACCTTTGTCTCTCCAATTTTAGAAACTAAAACTATAATCTTTCCCCATCTTTCTGTGTGAGAACTGCCCATAAAGAAATTCTCCCATCTACCTTGTCTGAATGTAGGCCATAAGACCCCCATTTCAGAAGGGATCCTGCCCCATACCCTGGAGGAAGGAATGCTGCACAGAGATGCCAGAAAAATCTGATCAGACAGGCCTTGCTGGGTTTCCCCATTCAGTCTATTAGTATTAAATCGTATGCTTTTTGTCCAATCACTTTTCAACATGGTTCAATCATGACTATCCAATGAAGTCTCCATAAAGGTCCAAGAGGACTGGTTCAGGGAGTTTCTGGATAGCTGAACAGTGGAGGTACCTGAAGGTAGCTTGCCCTGGGAGGGCGTGAAAACTCAGTGCCTTTTCCCGCATACCTCACTCTATGCATCTCTTCATCTTTATCTTTTATAATAAACTGGTAAACGGGAAGTGTTTCCCTGAGTTCCCCAAGCCACTACAGCAAATTAATGGAACCCAAGGAGGGTGTCGTGGGAACCCCAATTTATAAACAGTTCATCAGAAGCATAGGTAAAATGACCCGGGGCTTGTGATTGGCATCAGAAGTAGTGGGGGGCAATTTTGTGGGACTGAACCCTTAACTGTGGGATCTGACACCATCTCCAGGTAAATAGTGTCAGAATTCACTTGGAGGATACCCAGCTGGTATCCACTGCAGAATTGATTGCTTGCTTGTTGCTGGGGAGAAATCCTTGCACATTTGGTCACTGAAGTCTTCTGTGTTGATTGTTGAATAAGAGAATAGAAAAAACACTTAGTGTTTTTCTGCTCACAGCCTCCCTCCCCTCCCAAGTCTGTCACAAACCCAGAAAGTTGTTAATGATCCTCTTAGCCCAAAGTGCTCACAATGAATTCTCACTTATTTTTTTGTTCTATGCAGTTAGCATTCATCCTGTATTTTGTCTTTGTTATTCATTATCTTTGCGTTTATCATTCCCATAACCATAGTGTACATTTCTTGGTGACTGGCCTAGGTTATTTAAGTCTTCTAGAGATCATGCAAAATATCTTAAATATTGTACATATTCCATTGCTATAATTTTTAAGAGTTGTCTCTTTTCCTCATTCTCCTCTAAAATGTAAGCTCCCTGAAGACTGGTACCTTGTGTGTTTTGTGTTTTAAGCTGTGTCCCTCATGGCACCTTGGTAGGAGCCAAGCAAGTAATTGTGGAAGGAATGGATGATTTATTCTTCTAAGATAACTTGATTAACATAATGCCTAGTGGTTTTATGGCCCTAGTAGAATTTTCTTCTTCTGTGGCACTTTGAGATACCCCCAGTTATCTGTTCTAAAAATGCTGAGTGTATGTATTTTACCAGGCACTCTGCTAGGTTCCAGGTTCACTGTTCTCTAGTACCTCACTGTCTAGAAAGGAAACGGATAATTTCAGTAACTTGTGATTAATACTGTAATCAAGATCTGTACCAGGTTCAGTGGTGATACCAAGGAGAAAGCACGTGACCTTGCCTAGGGGAATCCAGGACAGCTCTATTGGGGCAGCACCTGAGCCAGCCCTGTTGGGATGAAAAGACAGGTGAGGGCATGGGGCTAGGACAGCAGAGCGTCCTGAGTGTTTCTAAAGGCATGATGATTTCTCAAAAATTAAATCTTGATACACCCTGGCCTTATTCACGATGGCAAGGGGATCATGTTGTGTACATATCATAAATATATACACATGTATAAATATGTATACATTATATATACATATGTGTGTGTGTGTCTGTATGCACACTCTCTACCAAGGAGATGACAGCTAAAAACAAAGCAAACTATCCTCAAACTCTCTTTTAGAATAGTCTTGCTTCTTTTTATAAACCTTTTGTTATTTTCAGTTTCAAGTCCACAGACATGATTTATCTTGCACATTCTTTCAAGTCAAATAATAGCTTTCCAAAAGGTCCTCCAGTATCCTCTTAAAATACTTTATTTGGTTCTGAGACAAACACAGCTCTAAAAGAATAAGAGTTACTCTTACTTAATTTGTATTTTAGCTGTATACACACTCGTCTTTTCTCAAGGGGTTGCAGCAGTCACATATGTCGATTGCTCTACATTTATTATTTTTTCTTTTGGGAGCCTAGAAATTTAGACCAAATGCTCCTATGAAAATTTCCATCAGTTATATGGGATTTTAATTCTGATATTCTTGAAGGGAGATTATAAAGGATTAAGAATACCGGAAATAAAGGGCCGGACATGATGGGTCATGCCTATTATCTCAGCACTTTGGGAGGCCAAGGTGGGAATATTGCTTGAGCGAAAGAGTTTGAAACCAGCCTGGGAAACATACTAAGACCCAATCTATACAAAAACTGCAAAAATCAGTTGGGCATGGCACATGCCTGTGGTGCCAGCTGCTTTGGAGGCTGAGGTGGAAGATTCAATTGAACCCAGGAAGCCAAGGCTGCAGTGAGCTGTCATTGTGCCACTGCAGTCCAGCCTGGGCAACAGAGACCCTGTCTCAAAAAAAAAAAAAAAAAAACTCACGATTTGGCTTTAAATTAAAGGATGATATTGATCTCTTAGTGATATCTGTAGCAGATGATTAAAATGATTGTATTTTAATAAGTTTTCACTCTAATCCTTTAGGTTTTCTTCTGTTACACTTTACTTGGTGTGTATTTTGTATTTTAGCTGTACATCTTAACCAAAAACACTCGTCTTGAAGCGGGGAGAAGATTTCTTATTCATCTTTGTATCTCACAGCCTGAATATCGTAATGTTTTTCACATAGTAGATGTTCAACAAAACATATGTTTTGGGACATTTTTAGATTTTTTTTTTTTGAGATGGAGTCTTACTCTTTTTCCTAGGCTGGAGTGCAGTGGCAAGATCTGGGCTCACTGCAAGCTCCACCTCCCAGGTTCACGCCATTCTCCTGCATCAGCCTCCCGAGTAGCTGGGACTACAGGCACCCACCACCACGCCCGGCTAATTTTTTTGTATTTTTAGTAGAGACGGGGTTTCACCCTGTTAACCAGGTTGGTCTTGATCTCCTGACTTCGTTATCCTCCCGCCTCGGCCTTCCAAAGTGCTGGGATTACAGGCGTGAGACATTTTTAGATTTTAATGGAAGCTTTGCATGCCATATGATTTAAGCTGTCTGATTATAATGAATTCAGGGCTGGGTCTGTGCAAGAGTAGTCAATTTTAGAACAGAAAATATTTCCAATTACCTTTAGCCAACGAAATGTACTACTCAACTGATTGGTAAATCATATGTAAAGATACAGATTGAAGGAATTTTATTCAGCCAAATGATTGTCTTATGACATTATTTTTTTTTCTTTAGTTTTGTATTTTGGTCATTGCAACTAAAATTAATTAGCATCCATCCCAAAAAGCAGTTTGAAGAATACTGGTAGATGAGTATGTCAACAATAGAATATTTTGGACATGGACCAAAGAGCAATTCAAATACTGTTCAGCCAAAACACATCAGATGGAACACTTGCATAGAAGACAAGTTGAAGGGTTAATAGGCAACTTTCTCTGCCATGGTAATTATTATTGCCCTGGCTACATGTTTGAATACTAATTGAAAGATCTTGCTGCAGTAAGTTATTCATCAGCCAGAAATACAAGTGAAAGAAAATGTATTCTTTTGTGAAGTCCAAATGTTGCTTTTATATCTAATGCTTTCATAATAGTACATTGGAATTCTACTATTTCCCACACTATTTTAAAGTACAAATACTTGAAATTGAAAAAAAAAGGGACATTGGCACTTAAAGTTCTCTTTTCTAATATTTATTATAACTTTGGCAGAACTTTAGCCTTAGGTCAAAGCCATGCAAATAGATGTTCTTTTACAGAGTACAATTATGCAAATTACAGGCTTATTTATAAAGCTTGTTTTATCTAAACTAAGATTTTGTTTATATAATTGAATTTTTTGTGATTTCTGTAGACATTCTATCTAGATGTTTGAAAAATAATCTTTGGCTTTGCACAAACAAAATGATGGCTAAAGTTTTCTTGTGGTGTCACATAGTCACAGTCTTATACATGCTTTTTTTCTGATTTGTACTAAATTTTTAAGAAAAATATATTTCCCACTAAATTCTAAAGAAAGATAATACATTTTCTCTGCATATGAAACTCAATAAGATCCTTAACATTATTTAAAAATTTTTATTATAATTTATATTATGATTTGAAACAATTGCATTGTTTCTTCCTATTAAACAAGCTGTGAATGCCTAAATTGCATAAAACATAAGATATTCTTTATTTAAAAAAATTAACAAAAATTATCATTTTCTTTTTTTTTTTTTTTTTTTTTGAAGATGGAGTCTTGCTCTGTTGCCCAGGCTGGAGTGCAGTGGCACGATCTTGGCTCACTGAAACCTCTGCCTCCTGGGTTCAAGCTATTCTCCTGCCTCAGGCTCCCGAGTAACTGGGATTACAGGTGCACGCCACCATGCCTGGCTAATTTTTTGTATTTTTAGTAGAGACAAGGTTTCACCATGTTGGCCAGGCTGGTCTTGAGCTCCTGACCTCAAGTGATCCACCCGCCTTGGCCTCCCAAAGTGATACCCATAGTAAAGAAACCGTTTACTGATCTTAGATGCTGCTTAAGAAGAAAGAAAAGTAAAAGGAGGAAAGATGAACTTATATAGGTAATTGGCTGCTGTTGATATAGAGTGTTAAGGAGTGAAGAGGAAAGTCTTACGGTCAGATGACCTCAGTTTATGGTCACCTAGCACCTTGTGCCATGTCCCCTAGAATTGATTGAATGACACAAGCTTCTCAGCCTCTCTGAGCCTGTTTCTTCAGTCCTGTGTGGTTGCTGGGAGGATGCGAGGTGGTATGCACAGTACTGGACAAGGGGCCCTTTTCACTTAGACACTTATGAGGGCAGTTACATTATCACCCTCATAATAAATTCTTTTTCTTTTTCTTTTTTTTTTAGATAAAACTGTCATGGAAACTGCTACTTTTAACTCCTGATCACTAAGTCTTTTCCCATCAAACATTGCTGTCCATTTTTGTTGCTTTCTATCATGTTATGCATATAGGAACTGCTCAATAGTGGTATTATGCCTGTAGGAACTGCTCAACAAGTGTAAGTGTCAGATTAAGGGTAATGACAGTGGCTGTGCTGCAGACACATGCATTTAAAGATAAAGGTGGTTGAAGAATTGCATGTGGTTTCTGCAAAGAGCAAAGCGATAATTATTGTGTGTGTTTTTTCCTATCTTGCAGATCTTTGGGCAGACTGACAATATTCTGTTGATGCCAAGAAACTATTTTAGGGGGAATCTCTTTCAGGGAAATCTTAGCAAAAGATCCTAGGGGCTGACACACAGTGGCTCCCAATAAATGGCTCATGAATGTAGGGATTATAGTTCCATCAGTGGTCCCTGTGGCCTATCCTATTCTCCTAGGCTTTTTGTGTTGTTTTTTTTTTTTTTTTTTTTGACAGGGTCTCTTTCTGTTGCCAGGGCTGAAGTGCAGTAGTGGAGTAGCGCAATCATGGCTCACTGTAGCATTGACTCCCAGACTCAATTGATCCTCTTACCTCAACCTCCTGCGTATCTGGGACCACAGGTATGCACCAGGCCCTCCTTTTTTTTTTTTTTTTTTTTTTTTTTATTATTAGAGATTGGTCTCACTATGTTGCCCAGCTGGTCCCAAACTCTTGGGCTCAAGCAGTCCTCCCGCCTCAGCCTCTCAAAGTGCTGAGATTACAGGTGTGAGCCACTGCACCTGCCCAAGCAGTTCTAATTAAAGTATGCATGCTCCTTTGTGTCATTGTATAGTTGTATGCACAAAAAGTGCGGAAGGAAACATTTAAGAAGTTATAGCTTTTATTACAGTTCGAGTCTTTAGAATATCACAGGAGAACAGAGGAGGGAAGATTAATAGTGAGAATCTCGTGGTTAGAGTTCTACATGATTCTGTTCTTAGGACTGGAGACATGGAAATACGGAGGAATCTTTCAGAGCTCACTGTTCGCTAGTGGGAGGGCAGTATTTGGTGGAGGCAGGGCAGTCAGGTAGCACCTGGGGGAAAGGATCTTGACTTCATGTTTAAAACCTGTTTGACCTCTTCATCCTTCCCACTCACGTTCCACCTTGCCAGTTGTCAACTGTTGTGTATGCAGGCAGCATCAGTTTCTGCCCCTCATTTCTCTAAGAATCTTCTAAAATTGGAGATTATCTTGGGTCTCTGAGACAGGACCTTCTTCTCATCCACCCTCATATCCCTGCACAGTCTCAGAACTATGGTAATGCTGTGGTAATCTATAGCCACTTGGGTCTGGAGGGGAGAAGGAGAGACTAGGCCATGTACTGGAGCAGATCCACCTTCCAAGCCCCCAGCTAAGTGTGGGTATTACAGATGAGGTGAAGGTGATCTTTTCTCAGGGTCCGGGATGAGAAGCTGAAAACCTGAATTAGATTATAAGTACTTATGGAGATTAAAAGAAAAGGATACTCTTCTCTGTGGTGAAAGATTATTTCTGCCATCTGTTACAGATATAGATAGCCTCACCTTAATTTGGCCAAGGGTGTGGACAGGCACCCTGCTGTATGTACTGTGGAGAGCTATGTTGAGGAAGAAATGGGCTTCCACGCTGGCCTGTGATCCTTTTAATGTTCCCATGTCAGCCTCTTTTCTTATTCTTGGGCTGTCTATCAATCTCCTCAGTTTTTTTTATTTTTAGTTTTTTTTTTTTTTTTTGAGACAGTGTCTCACTCTGTCGCCCAGGCTGGAGTGCAATGGCGTGATCTCAGCTCACTGCAACCTCCACCTCCTGGGTTCAAGCGAGTCTCCTGCCTCAGCCTCCCGAGTAGCTGGGACTACAGGCGCCTGCCATCACGCCCAGCTAATTTTTATGCTTTTAATAGAGACGGGGTTTCACCATGTTGGCCAGGATGGTCTCGATCTCTTTACCTTGTGATCCGCCTGCCTTGGCCTCCCAAAGTGCTGGGATTACAGGCGTGAGCCACTGCGCCCAGCCTTATTTTAGTTTTTTTAATTCTACCTCTGTCCCATTATTTTCATCAGACAGCTTAGCCTGGCTCTGCACAGAGATGGAGACCTGCCACTACTTAAGCTTTGGTTTTAGACAGATTTGAGTTCAAATTCTGGCCTAGACATTCATCAGCCATGTGACCCTGAATGATTAACACAACTTCCCGCCCACCCCCCACCCGTAAGATGGAACGAATGTTAGAACCTACTTCATACGAAACGGTTGTATCAAATGAAGAATGCCATTTAAAAATCTCACTTTGCAGGATGATGGTGCCTGATACAGTGAAAGCCTTCCAATAATTATAAGGTAACATTATTAATATTGTGGGTAGTTGCTTTTACCTAAGTCTTAACCCAGTCTTACCTCTTTTGTTTTTTATTAGAGATTTCGCCTTTCCCCCAAGGCTGTTCCTTCCACTTATACAGCTCATTGTCACTTTTTGTCTTTTCCATTAAACTGGGAGTATCTTGAGGAAAACTTTCACTTCAGTGAGCAGCATAGTGCCTGATGCGTAGTAGGCAATCAGTAAGTTTTTGTTAAATCTATGGGTAAATGAATAAAAGATAATGATTATTGAAGAGCTATGTGATATGACTGAAAAGGACCTGGTCTTGAGCAGCTTCTTATAACTTTGGGGCCTTGGTTTCCATATCAGAAAAATGTAGGGATAATACAGAAGGGGTAATGATACTCTACTTGGACTATTATAATATTAATATGTATAAAATATTTAACATATATAAAATATAAATTATATATACAAAATACATAATTGATATATATAAAATATACAAGGGATGGTTCCTTGCATGGTCATTGTAAAACAACTAAACGGAGAAATATAAGTGAGGTCATTTAAATAAAATTGCATTTTCCAGTAGATGCATTTCACAACAGAATTGTATCACTTTAAATATATAATTTTAGTATGAAAGGTAAGGTTCATAATAGAATCAGATGACATTTTGATAGTCTTTCTACTAAAGAAAATATCTATGGAATAAGAGCATTTCTTAATTTAGCAAATTTAAGATTTTAAAGTGTCTTGTATTAAGGTCTAAAAAGTAGTGTTCTTGATATTGATCATGTGAATTTTTAATAAAGGAATATTTGTAGTTTTTACTTATTTCAATGGTTATTTTTAAAGGAAAAATTTTAGGCTGGGTGCAGCAGCTTATACCTGTAGTTCCCCAGGAGTTCAAGACCAGCCTGGGCAACTTGACGAAACCTTGTCTCTACAAAAATATAAAAATTAGCCAAGAGTGGTGGTGCATGCCTGTAGTCCCAGCTACTCGGGAGGCTGAGGTGGGAGGACTGCTTGAGCCCAGGAGGCGGAGACTGCAGTGAACCAATATCACACCACTGCGCTCCAGCCTGGGCCACAAAACAAGATTCTGTCTCAAAAAAGAAGGAAAAATTCTAAAATGTTTAATTTTCCTACAAAACTAGAATTTTTATTCCTTAAGTATTGTTAAAGTTTGATATCAAATATAACTTATTAAAAGAGATTAATATAATACCAGGCAAAATGAACACACAAGTTATTACCCTGGTAGTTTGAGTCATTTCAAATTTACTGATATAAAAAATGAAATACTCTCTATCTAATTTGCAAAATAGGTACGTGAATTAATGCTTGTCATTTTGTATGCTTGAAAGTTGGGAGTGACTCAACCTATAACCAAATGTTAGAACTTAAACACTGGCAGGCCCTCTTCAGCATTATCAGACCTAAGAAAAGTTTAGACATTCCATATCATTTGGGTAGGTGAGAGCAAAATGAAAGGAAGAAGGCTGTTTTTATCCCCAAATGAAGTAGAGTTTAAGATTATTCACTTTATATTTAAGCCTTTCATAGGAGTTACTTTTTCTATGAAAGCCAAAATTCCATCTTTCTCTTACTGCATTTAGAATTGCAGTTCTCGTTGTCCACTGGATTTCAGGCTGTACTCTATTTGGAAGATTGCCAGACCATCTCATATTTTCTGCCTCCATTTAAATTTAAATAGTACTTAGTGACCACTGGGTACATGCTTCTATAACGGGCATATCACAGCCTACAAATCATAGAGGAGACATGAACATTTCCAAACAGGCCTTTTATCTGCTCCAAGGGTAAGCAAACACAGCAAAAGGCTTTTGAGCCATGGGTAATCATGGTTTTCCTGAGAGTTACAGTTGCCTTTACTGTGGCTAGTGGCCTGTTTTATACTTCAAAATACTTATTTGGAAGAGTTCAGTCACCATCTTTACTAGATTATTTGGCAAAGAAAAAAATCATCTGAAAGCTGACTGGAATTTGGTAGCAATGAGTCATCTTCATAAATCAAGCCCACTACTTTTTGAAAAAGTCATGTGCATAGAGATTTCATTTAGCTTAGAGCACTGGATTTATCTTGCCTCACAATCTTTATTCAGTAAATATGTGCGGTATATTTAAGGTGTAGAGATAAGGAAGCAGATAGGATCCCATCTTCAATAGAGCTTATATTCTAATAAGTGATAAAATAAAAACTAAAAATGTACACAGAAATGCATTCATTTACCTGATATCTGTTCAGCACCTTCTGTATGTCAGGTGTTGTGTTAGGTACTAGAAATTGAGCAACAAAGAAGACTGAAGTGGCCCCTGTTCTCAAAGTAGGCAGCCTAGCAGGGAAGACAAACATACCAACAGAATAACAGCAGATTATATTTAAAGATCGTGAAAAAAGAGACTGAACCAGGATAGCTGAGAACAGAACCTGGGCATATCCAAAACTAGTTCAAGGGAATGGGCTCTCACTGGGAGATGGCTGACAAGTGCACCTGTTATTTTTATAATTCTAAAAATAACATGGCCTTAGATTATCAACTCTTTACAAAACAGGTCTATGAGAAGGCTCAAGATGTACATTAGATTACTGCGTAAAACACCACAAATGCTTTCAGGCTCACAAGTCCAGTCGTACTCAGGGAATTCACCATGCAGAGGTTTTGTTTATAATGATTTCTACAGCTGTTAATGCACCTTGCAAAGTGGTACTATTGCTAGTGGTTCCAGTGCCCCTTTGTTCCTTGCTGAAATAATAGCCCTGGGTTGGAAGGCAACAAAACTCGGTCAGTCACCCCAGTTCTCTTCATTCTTTCTTTGCATTTCAGTTTAGCATAATTATCTTCCTTTCTTGTGCTAAAGGAGAGGCCATGGAGAGCTTGGACCGCAGCAATTCTGTGTAGCTTCCGGAAGTTTCCAAAGGAGGAAGAAAGAGAGGGAGCAGGTACATCTGTTCCCTGCACTCCATCTTTTCCTCTTGAGGAAGGGAGAGGCAGGGAGCTAGAAGCCAACGGGCCTCTGGATTCTCAGCCAGAAATGGCTCTCCAGACTTCTACTCTACTGGCTGTGGGATGTGACTCATTCCTGTCTGGAGGAAGAGTTTAACCTGACTTCGGCTGGGAGTCACAACCAAGCACGTAGGGCATGAATCACAATCTGTGAGGGTGGAAAATACCTACTGATGACTCTGATATGCTTCTCTCAATATTTGTTGCCCATGAAAAATCCTAATATTAGAGAATCACACTGGGGATTTCCTCCCCTGTGAATAGCCAAAGCACCCTAGTAATAGAGTGATATGGAAGATGCAAATTAAAGCTTGCTTTGTTTTCAGTTCATAGGGCAAAAAATAAAGGGTTGCAAATTCTGTTATCACTTGCTGTTAAACAGTCCTGTGACTTATTTTTCTGTGTAGGGATCTTTCATATGTGATTGAAACTAGCAGGTAATATATCTGTATTATTGTTATATCTAATACCTCTAATTCCTTTCAAATTGGGAATATTGTCTTTATAAATGCCATTGAGATCAAGTATAAGAAATATTAACATTATCTTTTGCCTGTGCTCTTGTCTGAACCCTCTATTCCTAGTACTGCTTATTTAGTCCAGTGATATTTTTGGTTAACATTGTAAAAGCATATTTTACATATAGTAAAATGTACTGTTAACTGTTTAAGTTATGACAGTTGTATAGCCACCACCCAAAACAAGAGATGGAGGACATTTCCAGCACCCTTGTACCCCTTTCATGTCAACCTTCCTCCACATGGTCCCTGCAAGCACTTAAAGACTTCCTCCATAAATTGATTTTGCCCATTCTTGAGCTTCGTTCTAAAGAAATCATGTAAAATGTAGTTTTTTGTGCCTGGCTTCACTTAGCACAATCTTTCTGGGGATTCATCTGTGTTATAGATATCAGTAGTAATCTAGTGTATTGGAACTATAAGAATATCTAGAAAATGTATTTTGAATTAAATCTTGAAGTATTCGTTTCTTATAGGTAGCAGACTAACAATCCTTAACCTTCTAATTCTGTTTTTACTTTAAAGTCAGGTAGCTTTTGGTCTTAGTTATTTTTGTAATCTCTTTAAGCAGTTCACATAATGCCTTGCCAATTATAGGAAATTAGCAAATGTGTTCTTAAGTTGGAAGAGAATGTGTGAGGAAAATTCACTCCTATCTCATTTTACAGAAATTCAGATTTTAATTGTCCTGCTGTAATTGTGAAACTGAACTGCACATTCATTCTGAGGATTATTGCACTGATGAGTTTACTGATGAGTGTGACACTGGTTCGGAGGGAACTGTTTGCAGACTCTCCCTATGTATAAGGAGTTCATGTGTAATAATTTATTTCTCCAGAAGGTCACCTTTTTTCCTACTGATTTTTTTTTACTGGTAAAAATATTGCAAACAGATATTGTTAGTCTCGTTTGGTAACTGAAAGAGCTCTGAGAACGGAAAAGTTAGAGTGACCTATCCAAATGAAGGAGCAGTTCAGTGTTGGTGCAGGATATTAGATTCCAAAATATTTGTTCAGGCCCCTTTTCCAAGTTCCCAGGGAAGTTACTGACACTGATGTTGGTTTCTTTTAAGAATGACTCATGATTTTTCGAGCCTGGTTTCCACTCTTAGTCATCTTCCCTGCCTGAGTTAAAACAGGCTTTAGGCTCTCACTGAATTCCAGCCTTGACAGAACCCCCCACCCCCACCCCTGGGCTTTTGATTCCCACTTCCTAGCTCAGCTACATTCCAGTCTCTGGAACCAATTCTGACTCCAGGCAGGCAAGATGAGACAATTCAGCATTTACTATCAGTCCAGCAGTAACCTTTCAGTTCTAATAATTTGGCTTGTCCTTTTCCTCCTCAGTTGTTCAGACTCCTTTCTCAGAAACATGCCTAGGACCTCAGTCTCTTTAGTTCTTTGGATTCTGTGTTGCTCTTGTCAGTGTTTACTATCAGTCCAGCAGTAACCTTTCAGTTCTAATAATTTGGCTTGTCCTTTTCCTCCTCAGTTGTTCAAACTCCTATCTCAGAAACATGCCTAGGACCTCAGTCTCTTTAGTTCTTTGGATTCTGTGTTGCTCTTGTCAGTGTTTCCTAATCACCCTCTTGCCCTGGAAATAAAGTCCTCTCCAATGTGGTGCTACTTCTCCTCCTTCCTGTAGCAGACTCTGGTTGTGGCCTGTCTGTGCCTACAGATTTAGTGACAGGAGCTGTACTTTTCTGTTCCCTTCTTTAGCTGTCATACTGGTGGTATCTTAAATCTTAGCCCTAAATTGTGATGAAACTGTTGTATTTTCACAAGTCTTCCTTAGTCATATTGTGCTGTCTGTTCTAAGTAGGGCTGTGAATAAGAGTGGGGTACAGTTTCCTGCAATAAGAGATGGGAGGCTTAACTTCAGCTTGGCACGTAAGAAAGATCAAATGTTTACTGCAATGTGGGAAAACCACCTCCTGGGCATAATAGAAATCCAGGCCTGGCAGTAAACAATTCTATTCAAAAGCAGCTTCTCAGGGCTGAGGAATGACCTAGTTGAGTGGCATGACATCTGAGCAGAACTAGCAAGGAGGCTTGGTGGTATGCCGCCTTTTAACTCCAGCACCTGTGGCTCTTGAGCATTCTCCTCATTCTTCAGTATGGAAAATGGATATTTTCTCAGTCTTGTGCAAAAACAGCTTCAAGAAAAGTCCCCTAGTCAAAAATTCCAGTATTTGGAAGTGTACCAGGAGTCCAAAAAGTTGAGAACTACTCCTGGCTTTTTCCTTCCCTCCCTCACACTGACGGCATTCCTGAACTAGCATGCCTGTCTGTCTCTACATTTCTGGGTGACTGCCTCATCCCAGGTGGCCTTCCTCCAGCTGTGAGCTGGGTGTGTTCCCAGGTATTTAATCCACCCTTGGGGCAAGTTCTTCCAGGCAGCCTCCAGTGCCCCTTCCGGGATCCTGGCTGGATCAGGCTGACTGTCCTTGGAAGTGAAAGAGGCTACATATGAAGGGGAGAAGGGTCCTCTCTGCCTCAGGAGAAGGAAATTAGTTACAGGTGCATGCATAGGCAAAATAGCCCCAATCCTGTTGTGATATAACAGAATTTAGAAGACATCTGGCTCAAATTTTAATTTTCAAAAAGTGATAAATTCTGTGAAGAGGTAACCTGTAGAGTTTATTGTCAAATTAATGGTAGAGCTACTGTATGTGCCACTGTCAGTTGTTAATTATTATTATTATTTTTTTAAGTTCTAGGGTACATGTGCACAACATTTAGGTTTGTTACATAGGTATACATGTACCATGTTGGTTTGCTGCACCTATCAACTCATCATTTACATAAAGTATTTCTCCTGATGATATCCCTCCTGCAGCCCCCCACCTTCTAATAGGCCCTGGTGTGTGCTGTTCCCCACCCTGTGTCCAAGTGTTCTCATTGTTCAATTCCCAACTATAAATGAGAACATGAGTTTGGTTTTCTGTCCTTGTGATAGTTTGCTGAGAATGATGGTTTCCAGCTTCATCCATGTCCCTGCAAAGGACATGAGCTCATCCTTTTTTATGGTTGCATAGTATTCCACGGTGTATATGTGCCACATTTTCTTAATCCAGTCTACCACTGATGGACATTTGGGTTGGTTCCAAGTCTTTGCTATTGTGAATAGTGCTGCAATAAACATACGTGTGCATGTGTCTTCATAGTAGAATGATTTATAATCCTTTGGGTATATACCCAGTAATGGGATGGCTGGGTCAAATGGTATTTCTAGTTCTAGATCCTTGAGGAATTGCCACACTGTCTTCCACAATGGTTGAACTAATTTTCACTCCCACCAACAGTGTAAAAGTATTCCTATTTCTCCATATCCTCTCCAGCATCTGTTGTTCCCTGACTTTTTAATGATCGCCATTCTAACTGGTGTGGGTTGGTATCTCATTGTGGTTTTTATTTGCATTTCTCTGATGACGGGGGATGATGAGCATTTTTTCATGTTTCTGTTGGCTGCATAAATGTCTTCTTTTGAGAAGTGTCTGTTCATATCCTTTACCCACTTTTTGATGGTGTCATTTGTTTTTTTCTTGTAAATTTGAATTCTTTGTAGATTCTGGATAGTAGCCCTTTGTCAGATGGGCAGATTGCAAAAATTTTCTCCCATTCTGTAGGTTGCCTGTTCACTCTGATGGTAGTTTCTTTCACTGTGCAGAAGCTCTTTAGTTGAATTAGATCCCATTTGTCTATTTTGGCTTATGTTGCCATTGCTTCTGGTGTTTTAGACATGAAGTCCTTGCTGATGCCTATGTCCTGAATGGTATTGCCTAGGTTTTCTTCTAGGGATTTTATGGTTTTAGGTCTAACTTAAGTCTTTAATCCATCTTGAATTAATTTTTGTATAAGGTGTAAGGAAGGGATCCAGTTTCAGTTTTCTACATATGGCTAGCCAGTTTTCCCAGCACCATTTATTAAATAAGGAATCCTTTCCCCATTTCTTGTTTTTGTCAAGTTTGTCAAAGATCAGTTGGTTGTAGATGTGTGGTGTTATTTCTGAGGCCTCTGTTCTGTTCCATTGGTCTATATCTCTGTTTTGGTACCAGTACCATGCTGTTTTGGTTACTGTAGGCTTGTAGTATAGTTTGAAGTCAGGTAGCGTGATGCCTCCAGCTTTGTTCTTTTGGCTTAGGATTGTCTTGGCAATGTGGGCCTTTTTTTGGTTCCATATGAACTTTAAAGTAGTTTTTTCCAATTCTGTGAAGAAAGTCATTGGTAGCTTGATGGGGATGGCATTGAATCTGTAAATTACCTTGGGCAGTATGGCCGTTTTCACAATATTGATTCTTCCTACCCATGAGCATGGAATGTTCTTCCATTTGTTTGCGTCCTCTTTTATTTCATTGAGCAGTGATTTGTAGTTCTCCTTGAAGAGGTCCCTCACATCTCTTGTAAGTTGGATTCCTAGCTATTTTATTCTCTTTGTAGCAGTTGTGAATGGGAGTTCACTCATGATTTGGCTCTCTGTCTGATATTGGTGTATAGGAATGCTTGTGATTTTTGCACATTGATTTTGTATCCTGAGACTTTGCTGAAGTTGCTTATCAGCTTAAGGAGATTTTGGGCTGAGATGATGGGGTTTTCTTTTTCTTTTTCTTTTTTTTTTTTTTTTTGAGACAGAGTCTCACTCTGTCGCCCAGGCTGGAGTGCAGTGGCAGGATCTCGGCTCACTGCAAGCTCTGCCTCCCGGGTTCAAGTGATTCTCCTGCCTCAGTCTCCCAAGTAGCTGGGATTACAGGCACCTGCCAGCATGACCGGCTAATTTTTCTATTTTTAGTAGAGACGGGGTTTCACCATATTGGCCAGGCTGGTCTCGAACTCCCAACCTCAGGTGATCTGCATGCCTCAGCCTCCCAAAGTGCTGGGATTAGAGGTGGGAGCCACTGTGCTTGGCTGATGGTAGGGTTTTCTAAATATACAATCATGTCATCTACAAACAGGGACAGTCTGACTTTCTCATTTCCTAATTTAATACTCTTTATTCCTTTCTCTTGCCTGATTGCCAGAACTTCCAACACTGTGTTAAATAGGAGTGGTAAGAGAGGGCATCCTAGTCTTGTGCCGGTTTTCAAAGGGAATGCTTCCAGTTTTTGCCCATTCAGTATGATATTGGCTGTGGGTTTGTCATAAATAGCTCTTATTATTTTGAGATATGTTCCATCAATACCTAGTTTATTGAGAGTTTTTAGCATGAAGGGCTGTTGAATTTTGTTGAAGGCCTTTTCTGCATCTATTGAGATAATCATGTGGTTTTTGTCATTGGTTCTGTTTATGTGATGGATTACGTTTATTGATTTGTGTATGTTAAACTAGCCTTGCATCCCAGGGATGAAGCTGATTTGATCATGTTGGATAAGCTTTTTGATGTGCTGCTGGATTTGGTTTGTCAGTATTTTATTGAGGATTTCTGTATCGATGTTCATCAGGGATATTGATCTAAAATTCTCTTTCTTTCTTGTATATCTGCCAGGCTTTGGTATCAGGATGATGCTGGCCTCATAAAATGAGTTAGGGAGGATTCCCTCTTTTTCTATTGATTGGAATAGTTTCAGAAGGAATGGTACCAGCTCCTCTTTATACTTCTGGTAGAATTTGGCTGTGAATCCATCTGGTCCTGGACTTTTTTTGGTTGGTAGCTATAAATTATTGCCTCAATTTCAGAGCCTGTTATTGGTCTATGCAGAGATTCAACTTATTCCTGGTTTAGTCTTGGGAAGTTGTATGTGTCCAGGAATTTATCCATTTCTTCTAGATTTTCTAGTTTATTTGTGTGGGTGTGTTTGTAGTATTCTCTGATGGTAGTTTGTATTCCTGTTGGATTGGTGGTGATATCCACTTTATCATTTTTTATTGCATCTATTTGATTCTTCTCCCTTTTCTTCTTGATTAGTCTTGCTAGCGGTCTATCAATTTTGTTGATCTTTTCAGAAAACCAGCTCCTGGATTCATTGATTTTTTTTTTTTGAAGGGTTTTTTGTGTTTCTGTTTCCTTTAGTTCTGCTCTGATCTTAGTTATTTCTTGTCTTCTGCTAGCTTTTGAATGTGTTTGCTCTTGCTTCTCTAGTTCTTTTAATTGTGATGTTAGGGTGTCGATTTTAGATCTTTCCTGCTTTCTCTTGTGGGCATTTAGTGCTATAAATTTCCCTCTGCACACTGCTTTAAATGTGTCCCAGAGATTCTGGTACGTTATGTCTTTGTTCTTTATTTCTGCCTTCATTTTGTTACGTACCCAGTAATTCAGGAGCAGGTTGTTCAGTTTCCATGTAGTTGTGTGGTTTTGAGTGAGTTTCTTAATCCTGAGTTCTAATTTGATTGCACTATGGTCTGAGAGACAGTTTGTTGTGATTTCTGTTCTTCTACATTTGCTGAGGAGTGCTTTACTTCCAATTATGTGGTCAATTTTAGTATAAGTGCTATATGGTGCTGAGAAGAATGTATATTCTGTTGATTTGGGATGGAGAATTCTGCAGCTGTCTATTAGGTCTGCTTAGTGCAGAGCTGACTTCAAGTCCTGGATATCCTTGTTAACCTTCGTTCTCGTTGATCTGTCTAATATTGACAGTGGGGTGTTAAAGTCTTCTGTTATTATTGTGTGGGAGTCTAAGTCTCTTTGTAGGTCTCCAAGGACTTGCTTTATGAATCTGGGTGCTCCTGTATTGGGTGCGTATATATTTAAGAGAGTTAGTTCTTCTTGTTGAATTGATCCCTTTACCATTATGTAATGGCTTTCTTTGTCTCTTTTGATCTTTGTTCGTTTAATGTCTGTTTTATCAGAGACTAGGATTGCAACCCCTGATTTTTTTTTTTTTTTTTTTTTTTTTTTTTTTTTTTTGCTTTCCATTTGCTTGGTAGATCTTCCTCCATCCTTTATTTTGAGCCTGTGTGTGTCTCTGCACTTGAGATGGGTCTCCTGAATTCAGCACACTGATGGGTCTTGGCTCTTTATCCAATTTGCCAGTCTGTGTCTTTTAACTGGGGCATTTAACCTATTTACATTTAAGGTTAATATTGTTATGTGTAAATTTGATCCCGTCATTATGATCTTCGCTGGTTATTTTGACCGTTAATTGAGGCACTTTCTTCATAGCATTGATGGTCTTTACAATTTGGCATGTTTTTGCAGTGGCTGGTACTGGTTGTTCCTTTCTATGTTTAGTGCTTCCTTCAGGAGCTCTTGTAAGGCAGGCCTGGTGGTGACAAAATGTCTCAGCATTTGCTTGTCTGTAAAGGATTTTATTTCTCCTTCACTTATGAAGCTTAGTTTGGCTGGATATGAGATTCTGGGTTGAAAATTCTTTTCTTTAACAATGTTGAATATTGGCCCCCACTCTTTTCTGGCTGTAGGGTTTCTGCTGAGAGATGCGCTGTTTGTCTGATGGGCTTCCCTTTGTGGGTAACCCGACCTTTCTCTCTGGCTGCCCTTCACATTTTTTCCTTCATTTCAACCTTGGTGAATCTGACAATTATGTGTCTTGAGGTTGCTCTTCTTGAGGAGTATCTTTGTGGTGTTCTCTGTATTCCCTGAATTTGAATGTTGGCCTGCCTTGCTAGGTTGGAGAAGTTCTCCTGGATAATATCCTGCAGAGTGTTTTCCAATTTAGTTCCATTCTCCCTGTCACTTTCAGGTACACCAATCAAACATAGATTTGGTCTTTTCACATAGTCCCATATTTCTTGGAGGCTTTGTTCGTTTCTTTTTCTTCTTTTTTCTCTAATCTTGTCTTCTTGCTTTATTTCATTCATTTGATCTTCAATCACTGATATCATTTCTTCCACTTGATCAAATCAGCTATTGAAGCTTCTGCATGCGTCACAAAGTTCTCATACCATGGTTTTCGGCTCCATCAGGTCATTTAAGGTCTTCTCTACACTGGTTATTCTAGTTAGCCATTCATCTAACCTTTTTTCAAGGTTTTTAGTTTCCTTGGATGGATTAGAACATAAACTTTTAGCTCAGAGAAGTTTGTTATTACCGACATTCTGAAGCCTACTTCTGTCAACTCGTCAAAGTCATTCTCCGTCCAGCTTTGTTCCTTTGCTGGTGAGGAACTGCGATCTTTTGGAGGAGAACAGGCGCTCTGGTTTTTAGAATTTTCAGCTTTTCTGCTCTGGTTTCTTCCCATCTTTGTGGTTTTATCTACCTTTGGTCTTTGATGTTGGTGACCTACAGATGGGATTTTGGTGTGGATGTCCTTTTTGTTGATGTTGATGCTATTCCTTTCTATTTCTTAGTTTTCCTTCTAACAGGTCCCTTAGCTGCAGGTCTGTTGGAGTTTGCTGGATGTCCACTCCAGACCCTGTTTGCCTGGGTATCACCAGTTGAGGCTGCAGAACTGCAAATATTGCAGAACAGCAAATGTTGCTGCCTGATCCTTTCTGTGGAAGCTTCGTGCTAGAGGGACACCTGCCTGTATGAGGTTTCTGTCTGCCCCTACTGGAAAGCATCTCCCAGTTAGGCTACATGGGGGTCAGTGACCCACTTGTGGAGGCGGTCTGTCCATTCTCAGAGCTCAGACACCATGCTGGGAGAACCACTACTCTCTCCGGAGTTGTCAGACAGGGATGTTTAAGTCTGCAGAAGTTTCTGCTGCCTTTTGTTCAGCTATGCCGTGCCCACGAAGGTGGAGTCTATAGAGGCAGTAGGCTTTGTTGTGCTGTGCTGTGGTGGGCCCTGCCCAATTTGAGCTTCCCGGTCACTTTGTTTACCTACTCAAGCCTCAGCAATGGCAGACACCCCTTCCCCTACCAGGCTGCAGCCTCGCAGGTCGATCTCAGACTGCCGCACTAGCAGTGAGCAAGGCTCTGGCCGTGGGACCTGCCAAGCCAGGCATGGGAGAGAATCGCCTGGTCTGCCAGTTGCTAAGACCATGGGAAAAGCACAGTAGTTAGCTGGAGTGTCCAGTTTTTCCAGGTACAGACTGTCGTGGCTTCCCTCGACTAGGAAAGGGAAATCCCCCGACCCCTTGTGCTTCCTGGGTGAGGCGACGCCCTGCCCTGCTTTGGCTCACCCTCTGTGGGCTGCACCCACTGTCCAACCAGTCCCAATGAGATGAACCAGGTACCTCAGTTGGAAATGCAGAAATCACCCATCTTCTGCATCGATCACACTGGGAGCTGCATACCAGAGCTGTTCCTATTCGGCCGTCTTGGAACAGTACCTGTCAGTTGTTAATTTTTATTTACTCTCACATATAAATTTCAAAGTGGATTGAGAAAAGTTCCCCTCTGAGTGGTTTTTTCTTTTTTCTTTTGTAAATAAGATAGAAAAGCTTACAATTTTTCACATACCTTTGGGTAAAAAAGGTGATCATGACTACTGACTTTTAATCTGCAACTAGAATAGAAAAGTATACAATAATTAATATTTTGCAAACATGTATAGAAAAATCTATCTAATTTCTGCTGTAACCCTGTGCACTTGTTACTTTATTTTCTATAAGTAATGAGAAATTATTTGGATAATAAGATAGTAATTGTGGCCATGCACAGTGGCTCACACCTTTAATCCAAGCACTTTGGGATACTGAAGTGGGAGGATTGCTTGAGCCTAGCCAAGTTCAAGACCAGCCTAGGCAATGTAGCGAGACCCAATCTCTACTAAAAATATAAATAAATTAGCCAGGTGTGGTGGCATGCACCTGTAGTCTCAGCCACTCAGGCAGCTGAGGCAGCAGGATCGTTTGAGCCTGGGAGGTTGAGGCTGCAGTGAGCCATGATTGTGCCACTGCACTCCAGCCTGGGCTCCAGAGTGAGACCCTCTCTTAAAAAAGTAATTGTAATAAGTTGTTTAATAGCTTTTTGAAGTCCAAATGAACTTACTTAGGAGCTACCTTGGCCATGCATTCTAAACTTCTAAAATTACCACTTTCTTAGTATTGTCCACCCATGATAACCTGGAGTAAAGCATTTAATTTTTCTATATGTCTTTCCAGGTATATAAAGCAGTGATTGAATTTACCTGTTTGTCTTCTGAGAGATGTTTTGTGAATAATTTTTTTTTTTTAATTTTTTGAGATGGAGTTTTGTTCTTGTCGCCTAGGCTGGAGTGCAGTGGCACAATCTCGGCTCACTGCAACCTCCGCCTCCTGGGTTCAAGTGATTCTCCTGCCTCAGCCTCCCAAGTAGCTGAGATTACAGTCACCTGCCACCATGCCTGGCTAATTTTTGTGTTTTTTGTAGAGATGGGGTTTTGCCATGTTGGCCCAGCTGGTTTTGAACTCCTGACCTCAGGTGATCTGCCCGCCTCAGCTTCCCAAAGTGCTGGGATTACAGGCATGAGCCACTGTGCCCAGCCTGAATAAATTTTTAGTGTAGTTAATTACTGCAAATTAACAGAGATTCAGGCATAGTATAGATTGCCTTCTCATTTATAGCAACTTGCCTGATACTATGCAGTTTGAGAAAGTAAATTGAAACTCATTTTCTCATGGTAACAGTGTACAAAGGGAAATTATACTAAGGGCTGTTTACCGTGTTTTATAGAAATTACAAATAAATATAAATGCTATACAGAGTTTTTCCCAATAACTTGAATTGTTGAACAAGAAAATATAATCTAAAATCATATTTGACTTCTGATGACAGAATGTGAAAGTTTCAGTTCATGTTCTTGTGATTGTCGCCTTATTTTTGTTGTAACCAAAAGAAGATGAATAAGTGAAAGTTTTCACAGTTTGGGAATCAGGCTTTTTATAGGAGAGTATCTGTTAGGTATCTTTGAGGAGACTTGTAGAAGCCTCAGGCATAGTGGATAACCTTTTTGAGAAACCGAACAGGTAGATGCTGGTTGTCCCATTACCGTTTTTCTTACTGCCCAAGCAGCGGTTACTACATAGGGCTTCTCTATTTGGGGGGGGGGGGTGGTCTGTGGATCTGCATGGGTGGGCCTGGAGGAGGAGTATTGTTGAATCCCCTCAACTGTATGGAAAATGTGTTTATTTATGTACTCGCAGGTCTCTGGTGAGAGGAATCTATAGTTTTCATTAGATTCTTAAGGGGTCCTTGATCCAAAAGGGGACTGGATTGTCAGTTCTGTAAAACTGGGATAATTATGGTACAGAACTCATGAGTCAAGATTTGTTAACTGCATGGTGCCGTAGAAATCCTAGCTGACACTGCTGCGTTTTGAAACTGAAAGTCTCAGTTTTCCTGTGCTGTCATCATCAGTTCCCATACTGAGGTTTCGTAAGGTTTGCCTGCTTTAAAATGGGTGCACTACAGTGGCTTCCCTTGGGTACTGGTGGCAAGACAAAAGAAGGAATAGAGAATGTGTGCGTGTTTAAACATTTCTTGACTTTTGACTTCCTATTAGGAATCTTTGGTCATAGCAGGGATGGAGAGCTTACATCGAATGGCCTGAACAATTAATGCGGTGACAAAAAGGTTCAGCGGTATCCCTAGCTTCAAGAGCTAGTATTGCTCTCAGGCACCATGGAAGGGACCCCTTAACTTCAGCTCTCTCCTTGCAGTAGAGTGGCAGTGGTAGTTTCTCAGCTAAGAACTGCCCTCTCCGGCCCCCAGGAAGAAAACGTTCTGATAGCTTCTCTTCCCTAGAAATCTCAGCAAATGGCTCTGATGAAATTATGTATGTGCCAGTTCCTGAAACCACCTTTGTGGACTGAAGTTCCCTAGTATGCTGATCAGCACTGGCTGGTAATGGAGTTCTGTAAGCCACATAAATGAAAATGGGAAATGGGTACATTTCTTTTAAATTTTTGTATTATTTTCTTCTAAAGTATTAAATGTGGGAAATCATCTGACATTTCTGTGTACTAAAATATAATTTTTAGTATTAATAATTGTTAATATAAATATTGGAGGCATAAGACATTTTCTATTTTTCTGTCTTAAAAAACAAAAAACTGATTTTTTTTTTTTTTTTTGTGGGGAGACCCTCAATAGACTCTCTCCTTTCCTTGGGTTAGTAGTGTCCATGGCTCTTTATAGAAAATGTATTTGCTTGCCTGAATCTGCTTTTTCACTGTTTTACAGGCATTTTTTTTTCCATCTATGTCCGGTAGAAAGCAGTAGAAAGGGGTTATTTTCTGATATTAGAATGCCTGAATTAAAATCATTACTTCACTACTTACTGGTTGTACAACCTTAACTGTTAAAGCTTTCTGAGCCTTTGTTTTTCTCATTGTAAAGTTGAACTGCAATAATGCACTTAAAGGGCTTGGTACAGTGTGTGGTGCTAGTAGCTGTTTATAGTAGTTAATGGAAATCTTATGATTTCAAGTAAAATTATTGTAATGTGTAAAATAACTTAATTACAGGCATTCATGAATGGTCCCATGGCTGATTACTATGTCTATAGAATGAATCTGTTAATTGTAATTTTGCGTAGATTCTCTTGGGTAGGATTCCACATGTTAGATTGACATTTTAGTCAAAAAAAAAAAAAAACCCAAGAACATTATTAAGTTGATGGAGATAGCATATGGTACATTAATATTACTAATAAGCATTACTTATGTTACCGAATTAGATTCTGAAAATATCAGGAGAGAAATTAGCTTAAAGCACTGAATTGCCAAGTCTGCCTGAGTGTAAGTACATAGTATGTCTTTAATTGATTTTATTCCTCTGGTGACTTTATTCAGTTTATACCGGGGCTCACTTTTCATAATATTATAATAGGAATGAATAAAAATGAATATATTCATTTACCTTCTATGATAAATAGTTCTGATTAGAATCATTCATAAGCCACAGTTTGGAGCCAATGAGTAAAGACTGAAACTTGGTGAAAGTTTATCTTGCGGTTTTTGGTTTTCTTGCACTTCCCAGTGTAATCCTTTTTGAGTTCTTCAGGATTTTTTTAACCTGGGTCAATAGAGTGCTGGAAGTATTTCTACATTTGAGCATTCAAATTAGAGTAAACATTGCTAACTGCGAGGAAAGAGCAATGGAGCTGAAGTTGCTGGGCTTTGAAAGAGAAAGTTTACCAGCAGCCTGTGATAATATAGGGACACCAGCTGTGGAAGTAGATGTAGAGAGAATTCTGTCAGATTTAGGGAATTCATTCCTGTAACTAACCTAATGGCATAGATTGTCAAACACTTAATGTGGTCCGAATGTAGACTTGTTTCCCTGAAAATGTTTACAAGTAGACAAGGAGTGATCAGTGTCTGATCATTTGGATGTGTCCCTGCTTCCAATGGGGGTAGACCAGATGACTTCACATGGGCTAGTTCCACCCTACTTTTTTTTTTTTTTTTTTTTTTTGAGACAGGGTCTCACTGTGTTACCCAGGTTGGAGCGCAGTGGCGCTGTCTCGGCTCATTGCAACCTCCGCCTCCTGGGTTCAAGCGATTACCATGCCTCAGCCTCCCAAGTAGCTGGGATTACAGTTGTGTGCCACCACGCGCGGCTCATTGTTTTTATTTTTTTTTGAGACAGAGTTTCGCTCTGTCGCCCAGGCTGGAGTGCAGTGGCGTGATCTCGGCTCACTGCACCCTCCGCCTCCTGGGCGATTCTCCTGCCTCACCCTCCCGAGTAGCTGGGACTACAGACGTTCGCCACCACGACTGGCTAATTTTTGTGTTTTTAGTAGAGATGGGGTTTCACCATGTTGGCCAGGCTGGTCTCAAACTCCTGACTTCAAGTGATCTGCCCACCTCAGCCTCCCAAAAGTGCTGGAATTACAGGCGTGAGCCACCATGCCTGGCAGTTCCATCCTACTTTGTAATGAAATTCATCACTTCAGAATTTATTGTCTACTCTGTGCCTGTTAAAAACTAAGAAGGTGCATAAAGACAGCAACATATATTAAGTGCCAGGCATAATTATAAATACGTGTATTGACACATTTAATAGTCATAGTAATGCTATGAGGTAGGTGCTGTTATATTACCCATTTTTGGTTGCTAAGATTAAGGATCAGAAAAGTAATTTGCCTAATGTTATGTAGCAATCAGATGGTTATGGCAGGATTGGAACTTAGGCTGAATCACTGAGGTGGTTCCTGGTCAGTCTACTATCTTAGTCGGCTAGGTCTGCCATAACAATGTACCACAGTCTCTACAGCTTAAACAGAAATTTTCTCATGGTTCTGGAGGCTGGGAGTCTGGGATTAGAGTGCTGCCACTGTGGTCAGTTTATGGTGAGGGCACTCTTCCTGGCTTGCAGATGACCACTGTGTCTCTCTGTTTCCACATGATGGAGAGAGAGACTGTGTGCATGACTGTGTGAACTCCCCTGTCTCTTATGAGGGAACTAATCCCCTTGTGAGGGCCCCACCCTCTTGACCTCATCTAATCCCAATGACCTTCCAAAGGCCCCATCTCTCCATACCATTGTACTGGGGGTTAGAGCTTCAACATATACATTTGGAAGGACACAGTTCAGTTCATAGCATCTAGTTATAGATATAAGCATGAACAGATACAATATGGATAGTATAAATATTTGATTTGCTAATGTATTGGGAAATTATGAATTTTATAATCTATATTGTCTCATTTCTATGAGTTTTGTTTCATTCACTTGAAAATCCTGCTAATATCACCACAGATAAAAGACTGACTTGGATATAACAATGAGTTAATGGAAGGAAAAAGTTTCATAAATAGTACTATAAAGTTAATTTCTTTTCCTGACATGCATGTGTAACAGTAATAGCTTCATTTTGTGTAGCTGTAACACTTTACAGTTAACAAAGCACTTGTGTCTCACTTGATTCTTACAAGAGTCATATAAAACCACCCATTTTATGGATAAGGAAACTGACATGCAGAGTTAGCCTGTACTTCCATTGCCCTGCCCCACTACTCAGTTAAGCTTTCTGCCAAGTAGCACAGCTGAATTTTCTTCTGTGTGCATAAGGACAACAGATGAGGTAGTAAAGAAAATATATTTTATAAAAAGTAGACTTTTTTTTTTTTTTTTTTTGGTGGGGACAGAGTTGCTCTCTGTCGCCCAGGCTGGAGTGGAGTGGCATGATCTCGGTTCATTGCAACCTCCGCTTCCCAGGTTCAAACAGTTCTCCTGCCTCAGCCTCCTGAGTAGCTAGGATTACAGGTGCACGCCACCAAGCCCAGTTAATTTTTGTATTTGTAGTAGAGATGGGGTTTCACCATGCTGGTCAGGCTGGTCTCGTGACCCGCCCGCCTCAGCTTCCCAAAGTGCTGGGATTATAGGTGTGAGCCTCCACGCCTGGCACAAAAAGTAGACTTTTTAGAAAAAACAAAAACAGGAATTTGGAGTCAACTGACCTGAAGGAATATGGAGGCAGAATCATTTTAACAAAGGGTTGTGCTACTAAATAGTAGATGTGGGTCCTCACTTAGTGAGTCTTAGAATTCTCCAATTCAGAGATACCTGGTCTGGGCCCATTTGGCCAGCCTTAGCCAAAAGTAAGACTGCCATTTATTGTACTTTATTTTTTGATGAATCTGCTGTGGAAATGGAAGCTGCTTCCTGAGTCAGGATGGTGTAGTCTGGTGGTGTAGCATGTTACTCAGACTCTCTGGTCCTCAGGTTGTCTTAAAATCATCATAATATGTGTTGGTGGCACCACATAGGACTTTTTCTGAGGATGAAATAACACAAATGTTAAGTTGCTTTGAAAGATCTCATTATCCCAACTGCTGTAATATCCTGGGCCTAGAATGCCATATAAATACAGCAACTTAGTTTGAACTGAAACTGCAGCTTCCATATTAAAGAAACAGAATCACAAAATGCATGACTGAAAAAACTATTATCTAGGAAATAGTATGTTACACAGGAAATTTACCTAATTGTATCATGTTCATGAAATGTTTGCAAATATTTTTAAGGTTGTGATGAGCATTTCATCTTGAGTAATTATTCTGAGGTATTTATTCTTTAGATTTCTGCCTTTTAAAATTTGGTATATTAAATATTCTGAAAGTTTATAAAGGTTTATAAATTCAAAAAATCCTTTTGGTGTAATAGAATTCTTCTGATTCTAGAAGGTGCTGTCATGCATTTGAAAATTAGTGTTTTACTGATAAATAATTCATTGGTAGGGCAAGAGGTTCCCATTTTAAGGCATTTGAGGGATCTCTTATGTTCAGGATAGGAGATGGAGGATACAGGTTTATTAAGTGAAGAGAGAGCCATCAGATAGTAGAGCTGATTTTCAAAAATCTTTAATATTTCATGTAAATTTAGAGAAAAGCTTCTTCTGGATGAAAATGTTAGACACTGAATCCCCAAAAATAATTCAACCATTTATGAGCCTGTGACCTCTAGTTACTTACAGTGCGCTAGCCCTGTGTATGCCAATACCTTGTGTCCTTTTCCTTTTAAAACAACTGCCAGAACTTGTCTTTGAAATTGTCTTTTCTTTATTCATTAACAGTTTAATGAACACAGTATCCAAAAGACTAATGTGCTTAATGAGAATGCTTCTTACTGAGCAGATCATTAATCTTCAATTTCAGGTTCATATGGAGCCTAAAGATCACCTGTTTCCTGTAAACTGTTCACACAAAAGGCTAACCTTGGGAAGCTCAGTGTTGCCTTTTTAATAAGTATGCCAGCTAACTAAAGAAATAAAACCAAGAACTGTGTTACTAGAGATAATAAATGGTCATAGGTTGTCTTAACTAGTTGGAGCAAAACAATGACTGTATAAGTACTAAAAAAGTAACAGCGGCGTTTACCTGAAGATGTTTCACATGAAATGGGAATGAAGAGGTGACATTTCAGACAGGTTTTTGAGGCTAATACTAATGTCTGCATTGCTGAAACAAACTTGGATCAGAAGTTTTATTCCATGCTCTCCAAATAGTAATTCTTTCCCAATTTCATCTAAAGAAAATGTTTAAGATAAAGACAGAAGAAAATATGTCAGAATTATTCTTAACTTTATTATTTATTTATCGAGATGGGGTCTAGCTCTGTCACCCAGGCTGGAGTACAGTGGCACGATTACAGCTCACTGCAGCGTCGAACTCCTGGGCTCAAGCATTCCTCTTGCCTCAGCCTCTTGAGTAGCTAGGAGTATAGGTATATGCCACCATGCCCAGCTAATTAAATTTTTTTGTTGTTGTTGTTGTTGAGGGGTCGTCTTGCTGTGTTGCCTAGGCTGGTCTCAAATTTCTGACCTCAAGTGATCCTCCCACTTCTGCCTCTGAAAGTACTGGGATTGCAGGCATGAGCCACTGTGCCCAGCCTTAACTTTTAAAAATGGAGAAGATACAGTACAGCCTTTATGGACATGCTCTGGTTACTTAAAAAAAAAAAAAAAAAAAAAGAGACAGTGTCTCACTATGTTGTCCAGACTGGTGTCAAACTCCTGGGATCAAGCAATCCTTGGCCTCCTGAGTAGCCGGAACTACAGGCATGTGTCACCACACCTGGCCCTGGTACTTTCTGAGTTCATATAATAACAAAATAGGCTGGGCATGATGGCTCATGCCTATTATCTCAGAACTTTGGGAGGTTGAGGTGGGAGGATCTCTTGAGCCCAGAAGGTCCAGGCCACAGTGAGCCCTGACAGCGCTTCAACCTGGGCAACAGAGTGAGACCCTGTCTCAAAAAAAAAAGGAAAAAAAACCCACAAAAAAACCCAAAATAGTGAAAGTGGAGGTGAGATATGAGGAAACCAAGATGAGCTCTTTGAAAGAACAGAGCTGGGACCCTAGAGACTTGGATTCTAGTTTTAACCCGATTACTAACTAGTGTCCTTGGATATACACTTAACCCATCTGGGTCTTAGTTTCCTTAGAAGCAAACAGTGGGACTAGCAGATCTTCAAAGTCTCTTCCAAATTCTTGATTCTCTGTTACTGCATGGCAAACTATACTAGAGCTTAGCGAATTAAGGCAACAGCCATTTTATTATATTTCATAGTTTTTGCACAGAGATTCAGCCAGGGCTCAGCTGAGTGGTGTTTAGCTGGCAAACAGTCTGATTCAAGATGGCATCAGGCATGTTTCTCTGACCTTGGTGAGGATTTGGAAGGCTGGGTTCAGATGGGGCTGTACATTGGAGTGCCTACTTGTGATCCCTCCATCATGGCAGCCCCTGTAGTGGGACTTACTACAGGGCCCAGAGACTAATGTTCCAGTGAAGAAGACAGAAGATGCATGGTCTTCAAAGACTTAGCCTTCCAAGTCGCAGGTACCTTTCTCATCATGCACCCTTGGAGGAGGCATTCAAAAGGCTGCCTAGATTCAGGGGGAGGGGCCGTAGCCTCCATCATCTAATGAGAGGAGTTTTAAAGGCTATGTTTTAAAGTTGATATAGTCCCATTCACTGTGTGTGGTAGAGTTTGTTCAATTGTGGTAAACTTACTGTTTTAAACTTAGCCTTCTTGAACCCTTGACAAGTTGAAAAGACAGCCTTCTGCCCTCTGAGTGAATACTGATGATCAAAAATAACACCCTATACTCTATTCCTTCTTACCTGTTCATTCTCCGATATAGTATTTGCAAACAGACATTTTACTTGTTCAACTAACACTTCGTGGCCCCTCAATCACTTCTTAGGCTTTATTATTGTTATTTAATATAAAGAATACTGTGATCTTGAAAAGTAGAGTTTGAGAACATCTTCCATGAGTTTTAACATAGAATGAAGGGCACAGGATGTTTTTCAGCCATTTCATTTCCAATAAATAGTTATTTGACATAAAGAAGCTTGTGATAGTGCCAGTTTCACCTGGCAGAACACACCATCACACACACAAAAAAATTTAGCAGTTGGAAAATAGCAATTTATGATTAAACAACCAAACTGCCTGATTTGATGCTTTTGTGTTTCCATAAAGTGAGATACTTTGAAGCTTCTCTCCTGGAGACTTGTATTTATCCTCAGTATAACAGGTGGTGGCGTAAAGGGTTGAAAGAAATTATTTAAGCAAATATTACAGGAAAGTGGCCAGAAAACTCCAAATACAAACATATCTGCATCTCCAAAGAAGCATAATCATTTTTTTAAAAGTCTAGGTGGGTTTTTTTGTTGTTGTTGTTAACTACTGTTTTTATGAGCTGTTTGTAAGAAATGGTGTATCTCCGTTGTTTCTTAGGGTACATGCTAAAATTTGGCTGACAATCAGTGTTCTCATTAAATACTCATTTCACCCCTGTGAAGGAGTTCTGTTACCTGGGGTCTGTAAAGCATTGTATTGTTGGAGCAGAGCACCCTTCTACTGAGCCAAAACAGTTCTCACATTTTTCTAAGGCTCAAAGTTAACAACATGAAGGTATTAGGGAGAACAGCATTTATTTTAATTTTTGTATTTCATTTCTTTACGTTTTGTATATAATGGTTTTGGTCATCAACATATGTTAAGTCAAAATGTAAATATTGGCTCCAAGGGACAAATTATGGTAAGGATATAATCTTATATTAATCTCTTTAAGTCAGCTTTAAAGATTTGTGGAAACCTTCACACAACAGGGAATTGTCATGGTTCCTGACTTACCTGGATGTGGATATCTTTCTTTTGAGACTTCCTTGGGGACAGAAATCATCACTGAATTTTTCTTGCTTACTCTCTGTAGATACTGGTATAACATTGTTTTATTAAAAGCTTACCATGTCTACTTTTTAAACTGTCCCCCCTTGTTCTCCTGAGAAATTTGTTAATAGTGAGACATATATCATGATCATTGCAGGGAGCAGGGAACATTCTGTAATTCAGGCTATTTAATATCATGTTTGTTTAATTGCATAAGTATTACATTGTCACTGGAAGAAAATGAGAATATACAGAGAAAATGACAGCACCTAATAATGTCTGAAGTCTGTGGGAGTCCAGAGCTTGTTTTTCTCATCTCTCTCCAAGCCCCCGCCACTGATCCAGTTGCAGAGAAGAGAAAATAGAATTCAGAATTCTTAAATGTATAAAGTTATTCATTGTTTTAAATAGTTTACAAAAGGCATGTTGATGCCATTAATAACAATGAAATGTGAATTCAGGGTCTATGGAAGAAGTACAGGATTTGAAATTTTTAAATATATCTAAATCTGCACATGACTGTAAATTAGAAGATACATGCAAACATTAAGAACCTGGGTTCAAATGAACAACCTCTTACAACAAGGATTTAAGGCCTCAAAACATGAAAATGTGTAATTGAGTTGTTCCACCGATGTTACATGAATGTGCAGGTTACTTTGAGTCAGTTATTATTTTGGTTGTAGATGATAGCCAGTATCATAGTTCACTATCTGTAAAATGAGGAGTTTAGGCTTAGATTACATCCAAAGTTCTTCCCAGCTTGCTGATGTCATGATTGTGTATTACTAACCCCTATAATGAGGCTAGAAGTGTTTGGTTTACGCTTTAGGTTTGCAAAAGCTCCTCAGAACTCTCCATGTAATAATTCACCATTCATCAGGAAAGTTCGCCACGGAGTGTGGTGGCTCATGCCTGTAATCCCAGCACTTTGGGAGGCCAAGGTGGGCGGATCATGAGGTCAAGAGATCGAGACCATCCTGGCCAACATGGTGAAACCCCGTCTGTATTAAAAATGCAAAAATTAGCTGGGCATGGTGGTGTGCGTCTGTAGTCCCAACTACTCAGGAGGCTGAGGCAGAAGAATCGCTTGAACCCGGGAGGCGGAGGTTGCAGTGAGCCGAGATTGTGCCACTGCACTCCAACCTAGCAACAGAGCAAGACTCCGTCTCAAAAAAAAAGTTCGCCATTCTTACGAATGAGGAAGTTTGTGGATGCTGGATGGCACAGAGAGAAGGCAGTAGAGAAAGATTATGAATTGAGTTGCAGGGCCAGGGGAAGCTTACTCCAGGATTCTGAAGCCCAGCTTTGTGACCCAGTTGTCCATACCTCCTGAAGGTGGGCCAAGGAATAGGGGGAGAGGAGGATGGGGATGTTGTGGATCATCATTGCCTGGGGAGGCAGTATCTGCCAGATCCATGACTTTGGCTCAGTGAAGGTAATTTTTCAGAACAGAAACAAAGTCCTGTTTTCTGTCTCCTAGAAGACAGGACTGCAGAGCACTGGATGGTTTGTTGAAGGCGTCATAGATACTAACAATCACTTGTACTTACAGGACCAACTCTTTGTCACATTTTAAGTTTGTTTGGAAAATCAGTTAAGTACAGTTTAGTTTGGTAATTTGGTTGGATTTTTTAAAATTTGGCTAATCAAATGTTTATCACACTTTGGAGTGAACATAAAATAGTGACAGAAAACTTTTTCATTCGATGGATACTTATGATTAAATGGATTCTGAAAATTTCCCAGAATTACAGATATGTAAGATTATACCTACTTTGTTAACAATGAAGTAGAAATATGAATTATGGCTAAGTTCCATAAACAGACTCAACATACTTGAATGAATAAAAGAGCAGTTTCCTGGTTCTGTTGTTTAATTGTATACTTTTATTTGACTCTCAAAACATGAAAAAAATCACATTTTTAAATAACCCTCATCAAGCTTTGATTCAAAATTTTAACTCATATATTTTATGATTGAGAATAAGCTAGTTTTTAACTTACTTTCCATATATATCTCTTACATTATAAATGCTAAAAGAATTAAGTTACCATAATTTTTGCATGTCTATATTATCAAACTGAACACAGCTTTATTTCTGTTTACTAGAATGTTCTTAATTTTGTAGCATCTTGTTATCTATCATTCATTTATAATCTCCCCTTTTATTATTCTGACATTTGTCAAGTGTTTTACATGTTTGAGGCCCTTAATCTTGGTCACCTTTAAATACTTAGAGATTAGTCATCATTAGCGCATGCTCCCTCTGCCTTGGAATTTTTTTCTTCAATAAAAGCAGGAATGTCATCTTGGCCAACATGGTGAAACCCCGTCTCTACTAAAAATACAACAACAATTAGCTGGCCATGGTGGCGTGCACCTGTAGTCCCAGCTACTCGGGAGGCTGAGGCAGGAGAATTGCTTGAACCCGGGAGGCAGAGGTGGCAGCTGAGATTGTGCCACTGCACTCCAGCCTAGCGACAGGGACTCCATCTCAAAAAAATAAAAAACAGGAATGTTGCTGAAGGAGGTTGTAGTGGACATTACTCCTTGGATATTATTCCTAAAGGAAGCATCGTGGAATCATAGGATTCTTAATTTACTAAGAATCATCCCAAAGCCATTTTTAAACAAAACTTTTTGCTCAATGAGAACTCTGGGAGTTACAACTAGTAGATTGTAATAGAATTAATGCAACAACCGTAGAATACATATTTTAGTGGCAGTGCTTGTTAAGAGGGGAAACTGTGACTCCATGAGCTCCTCCTGGATGGATCATACATCTCCATCTCCATCTGGCCCCAGGTTTTCTCCCTGGGTGTTTTTTTTTTTTTTTTTTTTGAGACTGAATCTCGCCCATTCGCACAGGCCAGAGCGCAGTGGCGGGATCTCGGCTCACTGCAACCTCTGCCTCCTGGGTTCAAGCAATTCTGCCTGAGCCTCCCTCCCGAGTAGCTGGGATTACAGGCATGCACCACTACCCCCACCTAATTTTTGTATTTTTTAGTAGAGACAGGGGTTTTGCCATGGTGGCCAGGCTGGTCTCAAACTCCTGACCTCAGGTGATCCGCCTGTCTCGGCCTCCCAAGGTGCTGGGATTACAGGCATGATCCACTGCATCCAGCCTCTCCCTATGATCTTGAAGTGACTGCATCTCTTTTTATGATCAGGATGCTATAACATTGAACATGCCCATGTGTATACACAACACATGGGTAGACACTGTTGGCAGAGATGACCAAATATGAAGAATTCACAGTATTTTTTGTTCCTGGCCTCATCAAACACTGCCACAGTAATCATTTAAGATTCTGGTGCTTTCCTGGTGTTCTAAACCACATTTACGTATGGCAGTGCAGGTAATTTATTTTCATATCCGTCTGTTTGTCATTGCATTGGTACCTTGGAAAGGTTAGTGTTTTCCATTTATTTGATTGTTACTACTGTTAATCATTACAAAATCTTATTATTGCTGCTCATATATAGATCAGGACAAGCAAATTTGATTTCTAGCTTTCTAATGTGGTAAAAAAAATCATAGAGGAAACTTCATATGCAAATTTAAGTAACTGACAGAGAATATATATGGACACAAACTCTTGCTATTATAATCATATTGTGACCTCAGCCACCCTTTGTATAGCCCAAGTAATGACTGTTTGATATTTATTATAAAGCATATTAAATTCCTTGATTAACTGAACCTTTCATTCCTCTTTTTTGTTTCATGCAGCAGTGAAAATAGATTGTTCTATTATCATCCTTGCCAGGAAATTTATAAAATGTATAAAATTATTCATAAATGTATTTTAAACTGAAGATATATTAATGTATTATTGGGTGTACTGAGCAGAAAACATTTCTTTTCACATTTGAATGGCAGGCACATGATTATACATTCACTTCCTACTGAATATTAATCATCAATTCCATGTGGCTGGTGGATAAAGCTCTGAGAGGCAGCCAGGAGATGCAAATTCTTGCCCTCATCATGGACTTTTAATGTGATTTTGTTTAATGTTTAAAATCAACTGAGAGACCTTTGAATTAAAAAAAAAAATCATTCTTTCCAAGAAGTCTAGGGGCAGTATGGGCTCAGGATTGGGTTATTATAACTTCTATTGCTCTCTTGGCGTGCCTGCTTCGTCTGTTCAACTTGAAACACTGTTTTAATTCAAGCTCTAACCTTGGTTGGCTTCTGTTCTCACATTTCTTGCATGTTTTCTGAGGGCAGTCTCATTCACACTTGCAGTTTCAGATCTGTTCCTAGAGCTTCAGAGCCCCATCCAGGCCATCTCCACCAGGGTGCACCCCTCTGCCCAGCCTAATCTCCTTGCTCATTGTTAACCCCAGTCTGCCCGTCCTGGGGCCACCCCAGTCTGATGTGCCACAGACTCTTCAGCACTCAGCATAGAGTAGGCACTTGGAATGATTTCGGTGATTTAGTTCACAGTTGAACTTGTTATTTCCTCCCCCACACCACAAGTTGCATCCCTTCTGTGTGCTCTCTGTGAATGGCATCCCCATTTCACCCACTCTCCCTGACTTCCCCTTTTTCCTCTACCACTCTGCTTCGTCTTTTTGCTCGATGTCCTTTAAATTCTGCCTTCCATGTTTCCTGAGGCAGTTCCCTGCCCTCCCCACCACACATCACTGCCTTGGTTCTAGGCTCTTGTGTCTCACCTGGACTGTGGCCATCTCTCTTAGTTTGTGTTTCAGCCTTCCAATCTCGTCTCCTCAAATCTGTCTTCCTTCATACTGTTGCCAAATTTATCTGTCCAAAGCATATATCTGAACATGCCACCCTCCTAAACTTACAAGTCTTCAATGAAGAAAACTGCAAACTTTGCGAAGATTATAAAAAGATTGAAATGAAAGCCAGGAGTTTTATGTGCTCTCTATATGGGAAAACAATATAGTAATGGGTTTGGTTTTTTTTCCAGGTTTATTTTTAGGTTTATCACAATGCTTATCAAATTCCCAAAGCGATTTTTCTGAGAAAATTGGAAAAAGTAATTCACTTATAAATTAAACACATGAGAATAAAGAAAAAAAATGAAGTATTTGAAGAAAACTTGGTTTGGAATCTCTCAGCTCTGCTATTAAATACATATTAATCAGTCGTGTGGTGTTGGACACCCTTCCCCCAACTTTGTCCTCCTAAAAATGAATTACAATGAATAATTGTGAATTACTAAGAATTATTTTGAGGATAATGCATGTAGTGTATTCAGTATAGTGCCTGATGCTAGTAAATACTTAATTTTAGCAAAATCAAAGTAGAATACAAACCACAGTTACATACACATGCATACTTATTAACATAACACATAAGGATGAGAGAATAGTAATAATGTTGCCTCTATATGATGGAGTTGTGAGTTTGTCGTCTTCTTGCCTTTTCTCCATTTTTTTACAATAATCATGTTACTTTTCTAAGTAGAAAAGGGAGAAAAAATCTTTCAGTGATTTTCACCTCTGGGATATGTCCACGTTCCCTACCTCATTTGGTGCCCTCTATCCTCATACTCCTCTTTACTTCTCTCTCCTCACCTCTTACATGTGCCTTCTGCCTCCCTATTTAGTCACCACGAATCCTGAATTACTGCCTTCCCTGTACACTGTGATTCTGCTGCATGCCTTGCTGTCCCCCTGCCAATAATGTCCCCACCTCCACACACCAATTTTGTCTAGTTTATTGCCACTCCTCCCCTAAGATTTTGCTTAAAAATCACTCATCAGGTTTGAGCATTAGGACACTTGTATTAAAATTAACTGATTGTGTGTTTGTTTCCCCCAAAGGAATGTTTTCCTCCAGAATAGAGACTGTAAACTACGAGCTGGAAATAAAAGATTGTTAAGTTATAGTCCATGCCCTCAGGTTGCCGACAGTCTGATAGAGAAAGGGATGTGACTGCATGAAAGTAATAAATATTGTAGGATCTCTGATTCAAGTATCTTCAGAAAATGGTGGGACAGGAAGAGGGGAGTAATTTGCCCTTCTTGGGGAAGGGGTGGATTAGGGTGATGGGTTCATAAAGTTTCCATTATTTTCATTTAAGAGGTGATGCTTGAACTGCAGAATAGATGTTTCCTGGGCAGAGAACATGGGGACAAGTGTTACAGGCAGAAGCTTTACATGGAACAAAGGCAGGATGTTGGAGGACAGTCCAGCATTCAGAATGGTGAAGCATTAAGTTTGAGGTGGTGTCCCCATGGTGCTTGGCACATAGTACAAGCTCAAGGATTTTGAACTAAACAGTATGCTTTTTCCTGGTTTCTGTGTATAGGGTTTAGGGGTTTGTGTATCCCTAGAAGTTGTATGTAATATTTTGCATTTATGTGCTTTTGAAAATTTTTCAGGGGAGCGAGTCATTGGATTTCACTAGATTCTCTCAGAGGATTTCATGAACTATAAAAGGTTAAGAACCACGATTTTAACAGTACACCCTAGAAATGGATAAGGTGAGATGTAGAGGATAGAAACTGATGTGAAGACAAATACCTCCAGCTGCAATTGGCAGGGATGCCCCTGGGCATTCACAGGGCAGGTACTCACCTGCTGGAGCCACGGAGGGCCTGGTTGCAGTGGGTACTTCTGATAATGGCTCTGCACACGCTTTTCCACCTCCTTTCAGCAAACAGGCTTATTCCTGCCTCTTTATTTGCTCCAACTAAGCCATTATAGTATGCCTTCTCTGATAGTCAAAGCAACTCTCCAGGGCAGGAAACATGATGGGGTTGAAAGACTGGAGAGAGAATGGAAACACCATATGTTCTATTCTGAAAATAAAGTAAGAGATAAATATGTGAGGAGAACAGGAAAGCATGTACAGCAACCAAAGCAATTCAGTGGCAATGGCATTAAATAGACTGCGTTAAAAGGCTGCAACAGCACTAGCCTCCCACAGGCACTGTAGGTCAGCTCATTCATTCCTCCATGGCGAGTAAAGAGATGTGGGAATTATCCAACTCCTCGAATCCTGCCCAGGCAGATTCAGTGTCCTTCTTTGCCCTCTGTGCAGCTGTAATAACCTTGTATATACTTTTGTTCTAGAACATACTGCACTGTGGCAGAATTGTTGATAATTCTTTTCTTCCATAAGGAAAAAATGGCTGATTTTTGAAAGCCGAGCACTTAGCGCTGGGCTCAGTACATGTTTACTGAAAGAAAAAGGTTGAGTTTTATAGCCCAAAGGTAGTGAAGTCAGTTTGTACAGTTCAGCCTGTACAAAGGTAACCTTAAACAGCTGAAGATTTCCATTATCCTTGCTTTGTCAGCTTCTTTCCTCCTTTGCCCAGTGAGGCACTCAAGTAAGAGCTAATCAAGGAAGGAAGCAGGCAGATCTTTTGCAAAGATAGGGGCTGCTCTTTTGAAGGGAGGGATTTGGTGCAGTGTTGAATCTGATGCAATCTCAGACTCGATCAGCTTGCTAAACAATGTTGGCAATTGCAAGGCAAAGCAAAGGACAAAGGTTATGGGAGCAAATAGGAGGGCACTGTGGGTCACACTTGGATTTGTTTCAGGGGCACTGCACACCCTCATCAGTCAGAATCAAGTAACCTCCCAAAGCATAATAATGTGTTGCATTTTTCAGAGCTCTCTGGGATGCATGAATTAGGTGCTAGTCTTATGCTATCACAAGTCCTGCTCAGAGGGATTCAGAGGCCATCCAGTTAACAGAATGTAGGGAGAGCTTGAAGAGAGGATTGAGAGGAACCACTGATACGTTTAAAGGAATGAAAGATTTTATCATTTGTATTGAGTTTTTAGTTTTATTTTTATTTTTATTTATTTTTTTTTAAGAGACGGGGTTTCTTGCTCTGTCACCCAGGCTGGAGTGCAGTGGCGCCATCTTGGCTCACCACAGCCTCAAACTGTTGGGCTCAAGCAATCCTCTTGCTTCTGCTTCTTGAGTAACGAGGACTGCAAGCATGTGCCACCGCAACCGGCTGTTTTTTTTGTTTGTTTGTTTGTTTTGTTTTGTTTTGTTTTTTTGGTAGAGATATGGGGGTCTTGCTGTGTTGCCCAGGCTGGTCTTGAAATCCTGGCCTTAAGTGATCCCCCAGCCTTGGCCTCCCCAAATGTTACGTTTACAGGCATGAGCCACCATGCCAGGTGTGAATGAAAGGTTTGAAGAGAAACCTAAGGGTGATATCAGGATTCCAGGCATGTGAAGGACACAGAGAATATTTTCCAGTTATTGAGGAACAAAGAATAGGAAAATTGGTTTGCATTTTATGAGGGCTTCTGAGGAGTGAAACTCGAAAAGGATTCAGAACATCTTCCCATTCTCCTATGATGTTAACTGTATTAGTTCTAGGTAGAGGGCCGTTTTTAGTATTTCACTTGCTATCCTGGATTGGACACTTGATCTAAAGAGGGGAAAGGAAGGAAATTAATGATATTGATTGGACAACTGCTGTTAGCACGCTCAGGGTTTCCTCCAGCTCTGATTTGCAAATATCATCTTGTTTACCCAAGAGGGAAGCATTTTTATCCCCATTTATTTGTGGGACAACTGAGGCCAGGAACACTCACAGTTGTATGCATGATAAGTGGCAGTCCTGGCTCTGTTACTTCAGTCCTGAGTTTGTGTAACTCCAAAGGACTTGCTTCTAATTTATTTGTAAATGTATCAAGTTTAGTGTTTATTGAGGCCATTTGGATGTCTCAGTCTCTTTGAGGTGTTGCAGACTGGCTCATCACAGGTTCTGAAAGTCTTTCACCTCTGAGAACAACTGTGCATTTGATCCAGTTGGTCACTTGTGTGTCTAAAACAACCATCAGTTGCTGCTTCTCAGCCTGAGCAAAGCATACTTACGGTGCATCACATCTGAAAGGCATACTTTCTGGCAGAGCAAAAGCTAAATAATACATTTCAATTTTAAAAGGTACCGTTTTCACTTAAATGGCATGTTTTATGGACTATACAGTGAAGGCAAGCACAAATGATATGCAGTATACAAGTATAATACATCAAGGATCATAGCAAGGTAAATGATTTTGATCCACGTTTAACCTGCTGATAAGGAAACCTTTCTATCCATGCTGCTTGATGTCTTTTTCCAATTATACATATTATATGTGAGCCATTGTAGAAATTTTGGGAAATACAGAAAACTGCAAATAAAACAAAAATCACCCCAACACTACCCCTCAAAGATAAACCACCATGAATATTTTAGTATGCTGCTTTCCCGCCTTTTAAAAAAATGCAAATGTAGTTTTATATGGTTTAGACCTATGGTATCCTGCCTTTTCACTTAACTTGCCTCATAAGCACTCTCTGTTTATCTCTTTTATTGGGTTAAAGTATACATAACATAAAATTAACCATTTTAACCATTTTTAAGTGTACAATTCAGTGGCATTAAGTATATTCAGTGTTGTGCAATCACCACCACTATCCATTTCCAGAGCTTTTTTTTTTTTCTTTTTTGAGACGGAGTTTCGCTCTTGTTGCCCAGGCTGGAGTGCAATGGCGCGATCTCTGGCTCACCGCAATCTCCGCCTCCTGGCTTCAAGCAATTCTCTTGCCTCAGCCTCCCGAGCAGCTGGGATTACAGGTGTGTGCCACCACACCTGGCTAATTTTGTATTTTTAGTAGAGACAGGGTTTCTCCATGTTGGTCAGGGTGGTCTCAAACTCCCAACCTCAGGTGATCTGCCCGGCTCGGCCTCCCAGAGTGCTGGGATTACAGGCGTGAGCCACTGCGCCCGGCTTTCCAGAGCTTTTCATCATCAGCACTCCCTATATTTAAGAAGGCTTCACAAACCACATTTAATGGCTGAATAACATTCCATCACATAAAATTTACTTAAAGGTGTTTTCCAGAAGACATTCAACAGATATTTAGTTTGTGCTTATTATAAACTATACTTTGTGGCGAAAGTAGTGAACAAAACATGGCTTTTGTCCTTCAGGACCTGTTGGAGGAAATGGCCAATTAGTAGGCAGGTTGAGTCCTGTAGAGGGGCAAGTACATGGTCTATGGGATCATGTAGGAGGGGAACTTAACTTGAGGTATAATTTGCATAATCATTCCTTGATTGTTGCAGATCTAGCATGCATCAGATTTTTTTGCTGTTATAAATAATATTGAGAGAGATTTGTAGGTATAAATATTTGTCTATATTTCACATTATTTTGTGAAGTTCTTGAGAAGTGAAATTACTGGGGCACGCATTCTAACAGGGGCCGGTACAAGATGTTCTATTTTTTATCTTGAGAGACAGAGTCTTTCTCTGTCACCCAGGCTGGAGTACAGTGGTGCGATCACTGCAACTTTGAATTCCTGGGCTCAAGTGATTCTCTCACCTCAGCCTCCTGAATAGCTGGGACTACAACCATCATGCCTGGCCTGGCCTTTTTTTTTTTTTTTTTTTTTTCCTGGAGAGATGGGATCTCATTTTGTTGCCTGGGTTGGTCTTAAACTCCTGGCCTCAAGCATTCTTCTCACCTTGGCCTTCTAAAATGCTGGGATCACAGTCGTGAGCTGCCCTGCCTGTCCTAAAATGTCCTTTTAGGACACTAATAATTGTTACCTACTGTGCTATTCTCAAGGTTAGGAGCTGCACCAAGGATTTCCATTGCCTGTTTCACCTTAAACCTCTCCTAACTTTTTATAGATGTGTGTACAACTTGCCTCTGGCAGGATTACATGAAGAATGGGGGCTGAGAAGTGAGTGTATCCAACTGGGAAGAGCCAAGGAGGGTCAGAGGCAAAGGGATTGTGGCTGAGGCTGAGGTTATGTGGCAGGTAACATGCACACCATCCAGGTGTTTGTACTCATTTCAGAGGCCTTGGTTTGACAAATGCTTTAGGGCTGTGTTCACTGTGCGTGCTGACAGCTTGGCTCCCTTCTGTGAAATTTCATTCTTGTGAACTTCAAGTCACTGAAATAAAAGTAGCCTATTTTTTCCCCTTTAAACGTATCTGTTCATCGTCTAAACAAACTCCCAGTCTGTTATCAGAGCTGGAGGAGACCTTTGGATATCATATCATCTTCCCTGTTCAAACTAAACCTAAAGATTCTAAGACTTAGAAAAGTTAAGGAACATTCGGAAGGAAACCGAGGAAACCAGCTTGGTGGGTGTAATGAGGGGTTATAGCTCATATCTCTTGATTTAGCTGCTGGTCACCCCATTACCTGCTGCATGTTGTCTTCAGGCTTTATTCTCTCCTTAAAGGAATTTTTTCTTCTTCCCACATCTTGATTCCTGATTTTGTGCTCTGCTCTTTCCTTCTAAGATGTGTTATTCGAGTGTTGAATACATGTATGTCTTGGCTAATGCCTGTGAACTGGAAATTATGCTGATAAGTTTGCATTCCTTATCCTACTCTGTCCTTGGCCTACTAATTGGTTTGACAGTTGATTGTTCTCTTCATCTTGGCCTCTTTGTTTCTTGGAAAGTTTCTGTTGACTCTGGTAAAAGTAATCAGTTATGTCTTATTTAGTCCCTTTGGATAATTTTTTGGGGGGTTGGCTTTTATTAATTTTAAGAAGTAATACACCCACCATTGATATAGTAAGTGTGGCAACCTGTCATGGACCAAAGAGTAAAGTTTTAAAATAGATGATTAATATTGAGAGTAGGAATAGCACAGACATCTGAAACATTAATTTTACCAATGGTTAGTTGGTGAAACCTGACTGTGGATACATACATATTTATGTAAATACAAAAAATTTTTTGTGGTACAGTAAATCTTGCTTCTAAGATCAAATATACAAAAAAAGTTAGCATTGTTTTGTATTAGACAAAGTGCTATTATCTTCAGTTGAACTTCATATCTGTATCATGACACTAAATATAAGACCTTGGGTCCCTGATAATAAGAATTAGAGAAAGGAACGTACAAAGCCAACACACCAAATTTGGTCTGAGGCTGTGAGCTCCAATATCAAGTGGTAATTGTGCAGTTGGAAAAATCCTGTAGCTTATATTCTCAACAATTTCTGATCATCAGAGTTTCAGAAACAATTCAGAGTTATCAGGCTCTGTCATTTATGAGTGAAAGGAGCAATTCCTCATTGACTGTAAGTCTTTTATGTTGGCAATTCCATTCTTAAATTAAGGCATTGGCATTTTCATTATGAAAATGGTTTTCCTGGATTTATAGCTGAGTCCATTAATTTTGTGTTTCAAAACTGATTGGCATTAATCTGTATAGTGACTTTTATATAAAAGCAACGTAAAGTTGATTTTGTAGTCTCGATTTTAAAGATCATTTCAGACATCTCTTCCTCCCGTGTTGGATCTACTGTATTGAAATACGAAGTTATGGAGAACTAAGGAATAAATATAGCACACTCCATTTCCAAAAAGACAGATGGCCTTACCATTCTGTGTAAGGGACTTGAGGAGACCCTGAAGTGACCTATATACCCTGGCTCCACACCTCACATTTGTTCTTGCTCATTTTCTTCTATATCTTGCAGTGTGGAATGATAATAATAAATGATAATGATAGCAGTTATGTCTTGAGTGCTTACTGTCAGACCTCGTGTTATGTACCTTACCATCCTTATTCCATTTAATATTCACAGCAGCCCTATGAACAGAGGTAGTATGATGCCTATTTTACAGATTAGGAAGCTGAGACTTTACCCAGCTGATCATCCAGTTAACCTTCCCGATTCTTGTCATTTCTCTACCACCTCCAGTCCATTCTGCACATCACTGCTGGCCCCATCATGTGCTTTTCTCCTTCAGAAACACCTTCGTAGACTCTATACTGTGTAGGGATAAAGCGCAAACCTCAGTGTACCTGCAGGTTGGCTCCAACTTTTTAAATCTTATGTCCTGCAACTTCCTTACAAAAATCCTGCAGTATAGACCTACCCTAACATGAGCATGCTGTGTGTTCACCTGTTTCCCTGCCCCAGCTGGCAGATGCCTACTATTTGCCAGGCACTGTTAGGATCTTAGGGACACAGTTCTTGCCTTCAGAACAATATACTCAAGGATAAGGCAGACCTGAACATAAATCACTTCTCCTTAGCTTTTATTTCTAATCCCAGATTGGCTTAGACCCTATATCCTTGGTGAAACTTCCCCTGGCCATTCAAGGCAAAAGTGATTCCACCTTCCTCTGAATGTCTGTAGCCTGAACTGCCTGTACCACATATTTATCTTTGGGTTGTGATCTTTTCAGTTGTCTGCATCTTAACCCACTTACAAATCTTTGCAAGTTAAAGACTATAGGTTTATAGGTTAAGCCTTTATAGCTTAAAGATTCTATAGGCAAAGTCTGTGGTTCTATGTCATTGATCTCTAAACTCCAGTTTTTAAAAATATTCATAAATTTGTAAAAATCTATAAGATTTTATAAAGAAATTTTAGCCCTGGATTACCATACTTTTAAAAATATATTGCATTGTGGTCTGAGACCGTATGTATTAAAGTATAAAAGATTAGGTTGGCACATAAATATGGCATATCATTTGTTTTTCCATACTTGTTTTAAACATTGGTGCCAAGTCTTTTTTTAAAAAATTGAATTAATATTACTGTGACACTTTCCCTTTTCTTAGTTATCAGCCTTTTGACTATAAGCCAAGCTTTTAAAAGTCACTAATAAAATATATGAGGCTTAGCCTGGTAATATAGTGAGACCTCATCTCTACAAAAACGTTAAAAAATTAGCTGAGCGTGGTAGCATGCACTTGTAGTTCGAGCTACTTGAAAGGCTGAGGCAGGAGGATTGCTTGATCCCAGGAAGTGGAGGTTGCCGTGAGCCAAGATTGTGCCACTGCCCTCCAGCCTGGGTGACAGAACAAGACCCTGTCTCAAAAAACAAGTGTGTGTGTGTGTGTGTGTGTGTGTGTGTGTGTGTGTATAATATGGCTCTAGTTCTTTGAGTTATGGGGTTTGTTAAAAATGACGAAGTGGGAAACCCATTCAGGTCCCAGCTTGAGCCACTTAACAGGGTGAACATGATTTAGTCAGTAACTCCTGTTTCTTCACAAAGCAGATGAGGCCATCAGCATCACGGTGGACATAGTGGGCTTTTCACCTGTTGAAGACTCTTGTGGGTGACTGTATCCATGTTGTGCTATTTGAATTGAATCATCCATCTATTTATCTGTTATATTAGTTTGCTGGGGCTGCCATGACAGAATACTTTAGACTGGGTTGTTAAACAACAGACACTTATTTTCTCACAGTTCTGGAGGCTAGGAAGTCCAAGGTCAAGGTGTCAATACATTTGGTTTCTCCTGAGGCTTGCTAACGACCACCTTTTCTGTGCCCTCACATGGTCTTTCCTCTGTGGGCATGCACTCTGGTATCTTTCTGTGTCCAAATTTCTTCCTCTTTTAAGGACACCAGTCTGATTGGATTAGGGCACACTCTCACACTCTCATTTTCAACTTAATCACCTCTTTAAAGACCCTGTCTTTTCCAAATCCAGTCACATTTTGAGGTACTTTGGGTTAGGGCTTCCACATCTGATTTTTGGGGAGTTATGATTCCATAACATCTATTTAAAATAGCACTTACTAGCCAGGCATGGTGGCTCACGCCTATAATCCCAGCACTTTGGGAGGCCGAGGCGGGTGGATCACTTGAGGGTCAGGAGTTTGAGACCAGCCTGGCCAGTGTGGTGAAACCCCGTCTCTACTAAAAATATAAAAATTAGCCAGGCATGGTGGCGGGCACCTGTAATCCCAGCTACTCGGGAGGCTGAGGCAGGAGAATCGCTTGAACCAGGGAGGTGGAGGTTACAGTGAGCTGAGAACATGCCAGTGTGCTCCAGTCTGGGCAACAGAGCAAGACTCCCATCTCAAAAAAAATAGCACTTACTTGTTGTAAATTATGTATGAAGAGGCTAGCATAAAGAAGAAACCGGAAATAGCCCTCCACTTATTTAGTGCCTATTATTAAAAGGGGAAGGGTACAGGTATATGAAAAGATAAGTCAAAACTGTATTGAAGGGTATAAAAGAAAAATAACTCTCTCTCCCAACCCTCTCCTATTTTAGGAAACTTCTTTAAAATCATTTACACAAATGTTTAAAAAGGCCAGGTGCATTTTTTAATGTATTAGTGTGTCAGAGAGAGTACAGATATCTCTATATCTGCACACAGATTAGGCTTTTAAATAACTACATAGTATTCCATTGTGTATGTACTATAATTTACCTAATCACCTATTAACAGGCGTGTAGATTGTTTCCAGTTCCCCCACTACTCCATTACAAACAGTAGTGCTGGATTCCTTTTACAAACCCAGGTCTGGGCACAGTGGCTCATGCCTGTAATCCCAGCACTTTGGGAAGCCAAGGCAGGCAGATCACTTGAGGTTAGGATTCCAAGACCAGCCTGGCCAACATGGTGAAACCCCATCTCTACAAAAATACAAAAATTAGCCAGGTGTGGTGGTACATGCCTGTAATCCCAGCTACTCGAGAGCCTGAGGCAGGAGAATTGCTTGGACCTGGTAGGTGGAGGTTGCAGTGAGCTGAAATTGCACCGCTGCATTCCAGTCTGGGTGACAGAGTGAGACCCTGTCTCAAAAATTAAATAAATAAATAAATAAAATACATACATACATACTTAACCAGGATGAAAAAAATAATGAAGAGCTACCTAAGAAGAATAACTGGGCTCTGATCTTGGTGAAAACCATCTTTGTTTTTCACCTTCCTGTTTATTGGTCTTTACAAGAGTTGTTGTGAAAGGCATTTCATTCTTTCCTGTCCTCCAGTACCTGACCACATGCCAATACCTCTTCTTCCTGCAATAATAGGAAGGGAAAGGGCTTTCCTTGGCAACATTAGGTCATAGTCCTCCCCAGGAAGAAAGGTCTGTCTGGATCATTAACGGGCATAGACTATTTTTAGCTAAGGAAAACAATTTTTCTTGTAAGAATTGCTATTTCCGTGCTCAGGGCAGCACATGCATCCTTTCTGGCTGCTTCCACCCATTGGCAAGGGGCCAGCTCTCTAATGGAATGTGAGCAGTCTTACTGCTAATCAAGATTTATGGTGGAGACCAGGACGCCTGGCCGCTCATTGGATTTGCAGACCCTCCAAGCTAACAGCGGCAGCCTTGAGATTAAGTGCAATGCAGAGGCTCTGGTGCTGTTCCCAGGCCCTCCCTTCTTCTCTGGGGCCAGCTTCTTAGCCACAGGTATCATCTGGCATTATTTTATAAGCTGTGCCATAGTGCAGATGTTCTTTTCTGAGGAATTACTTTCATTTCTGACTCATTTCAGGAAATGAGACAGTCTATCAGAGGTATTCTTCATTTCCAGACCCCTGGAGAGTTCATTTTCACCTGGGATTTCTAACCACATGGGGGCAGTGCTTTATTTACCCAGATGTGAGAAATAACAGTAATGAATAGTCTTCTTCTAAGGCAGCCCTTACTTCCCTGCAGAATCCAGTGTGAAGGCCCAGAGGTAGCTTATGCCCTTATTAGTGTAAATATTTCTGAGGCTTTGGTTTTGTGATGCTTGTGGACATGCTGTGTGTATGGGCTTTGGTGCAGGAAAAACATAATTTAGCAACAGATTTAAAAGGTAGTCTGGAGTGTTTCTAATTACTGTTTGTTTAGTTCACCATTGCCTAATAAGTGGATTTAAGTAACCTCGGGGGTAGGGAATGTAATGTTCATATTACAGTCAACCATGCAAATCAATTTCTAACTAAGTATTGCAGAGAACACACCGTGGAGCCATTTTATAGAAGTATTCCATTGAATCTTAAATTTAGACCTGAGAGCATTTTGGATTGGGCATTTCCCACTGGTTGATGCACACAGCCATGTGTGGTACAGTCCCGTTTAAGATCCTTCGGTGGCCTTTGGCATTTAGTTTTCTTGTTAATTCAATGTAGTTTTCTTTTTAATTTTCCCATCCTTCATTGACCATAATAGGGAACTGAAGTATTAAGAGGGCCCAGAACAGTAGTTGTCAACCTTGGTTGTAGCTTGGCATCATTCTGGGAACTTTGAAATTACTGATGCCTGAGGCCACCTCCAGAGATCTGGTTTAATTATTGGAATGCAGCCTCCACTGGGATTTCTAAAAGCTCCCAGAAGATGTTATTGTGCACCAGGGGTAGTGAACCACAGACCTGAGATGTCAGGGTCCTGAGAGCTCATCTCATCCAGTGGTTCTCAGCCCTGGCTGCAGATTAGCATCATCTGGAGAGCTCATGAAAGAAGCACTGAGGTCCCACCACCTGAAACGACCTTTCAGAGGAAGGAGCCATTCTTTTTAGAAGGTGCTCAGGTGATTTTGATGCACAGCAAGAGTTAAGGTTAACTGACATCTTAGCCATCCCATGTTATAGATAAGGAAAATGAGAGCAAAAATGGTCAAATGGCTTGTACGAGGTCAGGTCCTTGTTGTTACAGAGGCAGGTCTGATGCCGCCTCCTGCTCTGTCTGCAGCCTAACACCATCCCTTATATTGGCCTGTTGTATTTATTGATGCCTCCTCATCCTTCAGGTGATGTTCCTGCCTCCAGGAGGCCTTTTCTGACTCCTCATACTCACCTCCCATCCAGCCTGGGTAAGATCCCCTTCCTTTGTATTTGAACAGCATCCTTCCTTCTTTTTCCCCTCCGACTGTCAGTTCCGGGAGAACAGGCCTGTCTTTCCTGTTATTTCTGTAACAGTAGTGGGGTTTCAGATAATATTTGTTGAATTGAAGTTCTGTAACTTTTTATTCCTCAGTCCACATGGATTGCTGAAAATAATCCATTCCTATATGCATGCTTCAGAAAAGAACTTCAGAAAGCAAAAGTTATTTTTTTTTTGAGACAGTCTCACTCCGTCACCCATGCTGGAGTGCAGTGGTGCAATCTCAGCTCACTGCAACCTCTGCTTCCCAAGTAGCTGGAATTACAGGTGCATGCCACCACACCCAGCTAATTTTTGTATTTTTAGTAGAGACAGGGTTTTGCTATGTTGACCTGGCTGGTCTTGAACTCCTGACCTCAAGTGATCCACCCACCTCGGCCTCCCAAAGTGTGGGGATTACAGGTGTGGGCCACCATGCCCGGCTGCAAAAGTTATTTCTTACCTGTCTATGGCTCACTGTACTATGGGCCAGGATCTTAAAAGCAAGAAGGACTTCCCACCCTGCCTTCCAGGAGAGAGAGTTTTAGCAAAAAATGTTTGGCAAGGATATTTTGATGACAAAATAATGAAAACAAGATTTCAGTGACCTTACATGTTACTCAAGCTATGTACAACATCCAGGGACCTTCGAATAACATACAAATGTATATGGCATAACAAAAGGGAGTATTGTGGCATTACCTAACAACAAAAAGTTGTCTGAAGTAAATGATGCTATTTTATAAATATACATTTTAAGGACTGAATTATTATTTGGTGCAAAAGTAAATGATGCTATTTATAAAAATACATTTTAAGGACTGATTATTTGATGCAAAAGTAAAAGTAATTGTCATTACTTTTAATAGCAAAAAGTACAATTACTTTTGCACCAATCTATAATATTTTAAAGCAGCCACATTCTGTTAGTATAGCTGAATTAAATCCTTTGGCTTCTTTGGATTAATATGTTTTGTCTTTTCAAATGATTTTTAAAAACTCTATCTTCTGTCATTGCAGTGTACTTAGGATCATCCTTGGCCAATGTTCTATTTTTACTGGAAAAGTATTTTCAGATTTGCACTATTTACATTTACCCTTGTAGCTGTACCAGAGACTTTTCTGTAAAAGCAAGATCACAGCTAGTATCTGCTTAGCCTACAAGTGGCCAGGAAGCTCACTGCTGAGATGCTGAAAAGTAATAATTTTCTTGGGTGAAAAATACATAGTTAAAATTTTTTGGAACTAAAACTGCAAACTGGGCCTCGTTGTAGAGTAGACCCCAAGATGTTAAGATGGTGCAAACAGGACAGAATAATAATTGAAATGTGAAGAACCTCTTTGAAATCCTAAGTCTTCATACTTTCATGCATTATTTTTAAGAGCCTTCATATTGGAGAGCAAATGGTAATGTGGCAGTGTGGAAGTAAAGTCACCATATATCATGGAAAATCTTCCTAAAACAAATATTCTTGAAACTTTCAAGATAAAGCAAATCAATTTAGTTGGAGGTAAATATAAAACGTTTTTATATTAAATAACTTTTATTGTTTAAAGATGCAAATTTTTTGTGAAGATAAAACATGAAGATTTGAAGAACCACCTTTTTGGGTTTTTTTTTCTTTTCTTTTTTTTTTGCTGCTATGTAGGTGAAAAATTTAACAAAAACTACTAATGAGTAACCAACTTCTATCACACAAACTTCAGAGGCTCAGCAGTGCATTCTGGAAGTGAAGAGAAGGGTCAGGAGAGAAAAAAGGGTTTTTTAAATATGTAAGACTGCATTTTCAGTGTTTTCATCTATGTCCTGTCATCAAACTTTTATAACTACCCTGCAAATTAGGATTTATTCTGACCAGATTTTTACATTTACCTGTTCACTAGAGAGAGGAGCCAAAATTTAAATCCAAGTAAGTCTGATGTCCTTGTGTTTTTACACTGAATATGGCCTCTCATGTCATAAGAAGAGAGAATTCTCCAGAAGAGACATTATTAACTATGAGCGTTTACCATGCTGGTGGAAGAGGGCTGGCTTTAGCTTCCCTTAGAGTTCTTAATAAACACAAATAAGTTGATGAGAAAAAGTGTTGGCAGTGGTATGGAAAAAAGGGAATCCTTGTAAACCATTGGGAATATAAATTGCATAACCATTATGGAAAACAGTATGAAGATTCTAAAAACAAAAATCAAAAATAGAACTACCACATGATCCTGCAGTCCCACTTCTGAGTATATACCCAAAGGGAATGATCTTAGTATCTTGAAGAGACATTCACACTTTTGTGTTCATTGCAGCATAATTCACAATAGTCAAGATATGGAAACAACCTAAGTATCCATTGATGGATGAATGGATAAAGAAATTTTGGTCCATATATACAGTGGAATGTTATTCAGCCTTAAAAAAGAAGGAAATCCTGCCATTTGTGACAACATGGATGAACCTGGGAGATGTTATGCTAAGTGAAATAAGCCAGACACAGAAAGACAAATACTGTTTGACCTCACTTACATGTGAAATCTAAAACAGTCATAAAACCAGAGAATAGAACAGTGATTGCCGGGGGGCTGGGGGAAATGAGACATGTTGGTCAAAGGGTACAGAGTTTAAGTTAAAGAGGACTAAGTTCTGGGGATCTAATGTACAGTATGAATGGTGATGGAGTGTGTTAATTTGATTGTGGTAATTGTTACACAGTGTATATCAAATCACATTGTACACCTTGAATATATTCAATCTTTGTCAATTAAATATTTTAAAATGGAAGAAAGGATGGCCAATTTTGATCAAAAGTCATATAGTCAGATAGAATTTTGTGATCTGACTCCCAGAAACTACACATTTGATTTGGGGAAGGCAGCCAAGCAAAATAGTTGATAATTTGCTCTTTTCGTTTGATTCCTAGGTTTGAGAATCTTGGCTTTCCTACCTACTAGCTGTGTGATTTTGGGCAAGTCACTTAACCTCTTTGTGCCTTAGTTTCCTCATTGGTAAAATGGGAATGATAAAACTTGATTGCTATTGATTTTCTTCTCACATGCTGTGAGTTAGAAAAATGTAGGAATTTGTAGAATGGTTCTGTTCTGCTCCAACAAATTGGGTTCTTTGCTGTGAGCCTTGGTCTGCTTCCTATTTACGCCTCCCCATTAGAGCCATTTCTATTTCACAGGCACAGGGATCTCTTCTGTTGCTTCCTGGGAGAATCCTGAAGGAGGCTTGCCATGGGGTGAGGCTTCCTTGGAAACAGAGGCATAGTGTTCTAAATGAACTGAGGGTTACTAAGTGGTCTGAATACACTTATGGGTAAGGAATGTTATCACAGAGGATTGTTCATTCATCATGAGTCACAGAGCCTCCCAGAACTTTCTCTTGGAGCTCATGCTTATCTCAGCAGCACGGGGCACAACTGACCACTCCCTGCTTCCTGAAATTCTTTTTTTACTTGGCTTCATGATGCTACTTTATCTTGATTCTGCTCACTGCTCACTTGTTCTTTCCCAATCTCTCCTGCTGGATCCTTCTCTTCTTCTGGCCCCTAAACTTTGGAGCACCCAGGGCTTAGTGCCCTGACCCTCTTCCCCATCTCCACTCCTTAGGTGATCTCATTCATTTGCAAGGCCCTGAATGCCATCTGTATGTGGATGACTTCCACATACTTATGTCCACTCCTTATCTCTCCCTTGCTTTACAGCTGTCGGCTTTACTTCTTCACTTAGTTGTTTAGTAGATGAGTTGAACTTAACATTTCCAAAACCAAATTCTTGATTTGTTTCGTGAGTCTATACTTCCTCCATTGTTTTAACCTATGCAGTGATACCACCTAGTCACTCAGGCCCCAAAGCTGAAGTCATCCTTGATTCCTGCCTTTCTGTGACACCTCGTATTCTCAAATTCAAGCACCCAACATCCCCTGCGCCCACACCTAAATCGGAGCCCAGGCCACTACTAAGTTTTGCAAGGACTCCTGTAGTCGCTTCCTGCCACCATTCATGCACCTCTTGGTCTGAGTTCATAGAACAGTCACAGTGATCCTTCTCTTTTACACCTTTATACTGTCTGTAGTGGCTTCTCTACAAACAGTATAAAATTCAAACTCTTGGCCATGTACTGTAAGGCCTCTGCTACCTCTCCATCCTCTTCTCTTCCTGCTCTGCGTGTCTCTTAACTGTGCTCTAGCCACACCTGTCCCTTGACATGTCACTCCTTGCCTGGCCACTATCCTCATCATCCTCTCCACCCTCTGTCACCTCCCAACTCCTTTCTCATCTAGGATGCTTGCTGCTGCACTTCCTTCAGTTCTCACTTGAATGTCACCTACTCAGAGCTGTCACCCCTGACTTATCTATCTAAAATGTCACTGTTACTCTGTATCCTCTTAACCTGCTTTGTCTTCAAAACATTTATCTCCAACTGAAATTAGTATATGTACATTTGTTTGTTGTCTCTATCCCAGTAGATTGTAAGCTCTGTAAGGACATTGATCCTGGTGCTCGATAAGTTGTATGACTGAAGGAGTTAGTAAATTAATGCTCTGGAATCCCTGTGTTAAAAATACTAAAGAATCAAACACCTTTCTCTAGACCCTTAGATCCGTCTCCATCTCTTACCCTGTTTCTCTGTCTCCTTTTATTTATTTTTTTATGTTTATTTTTTGAGATGGAATCTTGCTCTGTCGCCCAGGCTGGAGTGCAGTAGCGCCATCTCGGCTCACTGCAACCTCTGACTCCTGGGTTCAAGCAGTTCCCTGCCTCAGCCTCCCAAGTAGCTGGGATTACAGGCACCCGCCCCCACACCTGGCTAATTTTTGTATTTTTAGTAGAGATGGGGTTTCACCACATTGGCCAGGCTGGTCTCGAACTCCTGACCTCATGATCCACACGCCTCGACCTCCCAAAGTGCTGGGATTACAGGCATGAGCCACCATGCCCGGCCTGTCTGTCTCCTTTTAAAGCAAAACTTCTAAAATGTTGCCTACATGTACTACAGCTTCTTCATTACTCATTTATTTTTCAATCTGTTACGTATGGTGTCTTTTCCCATCACTCTTCTGAAATTGATTGTGGCAGAGTCATTCAAGATCTGTGTGTTGCTGCTTCCAATGGATACGTTTCTATCTTACTGGATCTCTGAGTGGCTTTAAGCAGTTTTCTATTGCCTTCTTGAAATTACCTTCTAACTTGGCCTTCCCCCTTCCCTACTGGCCATTTCTTGATCCTCTACTGGCATTTCCTTCATTACTTGGCCTCCTGGGAATGTTGAGAATTCTTCATGCTATGGTTTAAGCCATACCTCTTCTGTCTACATGCTCATCTATTTCAGGGGCTTTAAATACCATTAATTTGCTGACTCTCCAAGGTGTATATCTCCAACACTGAGCTCTTCTGAGTTCTAGACGCCGTACCCTCCTCCCTCCTTGACAGCACTCCTGGATGGATGTCTCATGTTCAGGGAGGAACTCTTGATTTGCTTCCATGTCCCATCTACCCCATCCTGCCTCTGCGCTCTGTGTCTTCACCATCTCAGTAAATGGTACCACCATCCTTCCAATTTACAAAGTCAGAAACCTGTATATCATCCTTGGTTTCTCTTCTATTGTCCTTCCTCTCCCCCCAGTACTTCTACCTTCAAAATGATTTTGAGTATCTTCTCTGTCTCCACTACTATCATCTTAGGCCAGCTTCGTCACCTGGACTTCAACATTAGTCTAATGACTGGGTCTGTCGTTTCCACTCCTGCCACAGAAGTATGCTCTGTGATGGTGTGGTGCCATCCCATTGTTTACCTGTCAGTGTTTACCTCACTTGTTCCCCAGCCTCTCATGTCTTCACTGCCCTGCAGTCACACCGATCTTTGATCATATCTTTGAGCACACCAAGATACTTTCTGCTTCAGAACTATGGTCTTGTTTTTTCTTTTTCCTTGCATGCTCTTTTTTTTAGCCCTGCATAGCCAACTCCTCATACTTCATGTCTCAAATATCACCCCTCAGGGAGGCTCCTGTGACCCACCCTACCCGAAATACTTCCATCTCTTAATCTCTGCTATATCAACTTGTTTATTTCCTTCATATCTCCAAGCAGAGTCAGTTATTTTAAAAGTACTTATATTTAGTTTTTATTGTGGAATATAAGCTTCCTAAAAAGGGACATTTTCTGTTTTATCTTCTGCATCTAGCACGTGCCTGGCATATAGTAGGTGCCAGAACAGTGATTCTTACGTTTATATGTGTTCATGCCATGAGCTCCCCGCCTTTTTTAATTGGGGGAGAAATGAAAAGTTTTTATTTTAGTCAAAGTTTTACATAATTAGTTAGAATGTTTACATAACTCAAAAATTAAATAATGTTGCAGGTTTTGTTATGAAAACCAGCTGCATCACCTTTTCTGTTCGCTGTTCCCCAGAGGCCAGGATTTTTAACTGTAGCTGATTCTTTTAGTAATTACCTCTATATCTCTGGTTAACATAATTAAATTATAATTTATCTATTTTTCAGTTTTAGGCATTATCTATTGATGCAGAAGTATTTAGCTCTTTTTCACCTACTCCAGCCCCCTTCCCTTCTCTCACAAACTTTCCCAACCCCATTCCCTCAATTGTAATTGTGTTATAATTTTGGTAAGATCAGTATGCAGTGTTTACTTTATTATAACTATGTAATACTTTCCACAGATGAGCTATATAATATAGTTTGATTACTTTTCCTCTGGAGACTGTACAGCAGATACTGATATTATTAGTTTTTCATATAGTTATGAATAATTCAACCTCACACTTTTACCCAATTGTAAATCTCCTCTCAGTGTAATCAGCCATGCATGGAATCCTGTCAAATTCATCCTTTGGGGGAGATTCCTCCCACAGCCTTCTGATCTCCTCCACGCTGCCCAGGTTGGTCTTTAGACCTCAGCCGAGTGAGGGATTCCTTTTCACCACCATCCTGAGAACTTGTATTGGAGCCCTACATTTATGTCTTATTTTTTGTTGGTTTACTATTTTATTTTGATGGAGCATATTTCTCAGTGTCTTATGTAGAAAGGGTTAAAGGCAGGTAATTTTTTTTTAAACTTGCGGGTCTGACAATGCTTGTATTTTTCTCTGGCTTTCAGTTGACAGCTTGACTAAGTATATAATTCAAAGGTGGAAATTATCTGCTCTCAGAATTTTGAAGCCTTCTACTTTCAGGAGTTGCTCTTGAAAAGTTCCTGCCATTCTGACTTATGATCCTTTGTATGAAAAACTTTTCCGCTCTGGAATTTTGTGGATTTTTTTCTTTGAACGCAGTACTTAGAAATTCCATAATGATTAGTATGGTGGAAACTCAGGAGACCCTTTCACTATGGCAAGCCCCACCCAATTCATTTTTTTAAGTTAAAAAAATTATTATATGTATTTTTTAGAGATAGGGTCTTGCTCTGTTGCCCAGGCTGGAGTAGGTGGCACAATCATAGCTCATTCCACCCTCAAACTCCTAGCTCAAGCTATCCTCCCCGCTCAAACCACCCTCCACCTCGTAGCTAAGACTATATGCATGCACCACACCTGGCTAATTTTTAAATTTTTTTGTAGAGACAGGGTCTCTCTGTGTTGCCCAGGCTGGTCTGGAACTCTAGGCCTTAAGTGATCCTCCCCACCTTAGCCCCCAGAGTGCTGGGATTACAGGTGTGAGCCACCGTGCCCAACCCCCAACTCCATTTTTTAAAGGAAAAAAGTGTCCTTCAGTTTGTTTTCAGTCGTGGGAGAAAGGTGTTCTTTAATTCCTAATCCTTTTCAATTTGGGGAAATTTCTTTGACAGTTACTTGCCTTCCATTTTGTCTAATCCATGAATACGTCTGTTATTTGGATATTGGCTATCCTGAATTGGTTCTCCAATTTTCCATGTTTCCTATTTTTCACCTCTTTTTGCTTAACTTTATTGAACATTTCCTGAATTTTATCTTTCAAGCCTTCTGTATCATTTTAATTTCCAAAAGCTCTTTTTTTTATTCTTTGACTATTTCTCTCTTTCTCCCTCTCTCCCTTTGGTAACATCTTGTCCTTATTTCATGGATGCACTTTTCTCAATCTCTGATGATGCAAGAGTTTTTTGTTGTTTGTTTTAAGCGTCTTTTTCATGTGATTTCTCCCTCTTCACCAAGTTGCTTTGCTGTTTCTCTGTTAGATGCCCTCTCAGTGTCTGGGAAGTCTTGTCCCTTCTAATTTTTGAGTAGCTGTCTAGAAAGATGGCTGGAAGTTCTGTAGTAGTGGATGGCATTTGGCAATTATGCACTTCACTTTAGGGTGACCTGTTTGGCTGTTTGTTTAGGAAACTCTGTTAGTAATTTTAGGCCGTCCCTCCACCCACCCCTCCAAGTTAATCAGACCAAGAGAAAATACAGCTAGTCAGAAAGCTAAGTAGAAGTCTAGGAGTCTCAACATTCAGCAGTAATCTTTTGTGTAATCTGTCTTTTCAGTATGGGATCCCCATCCTCAACTGTGCCTAGTATCCTCTTGTCTGAAGAGCCTCTGTTCACTCTTTCCAGAGAATACCTTTCAAGTCTTTTCCTAGGTAGGGTGGGGTTGGGAGGCAACCACTTGTCTTTAAGCCTTGAGGAAGGGAATCTGGAGGTCCAACTCCTCAATAAACAGACTTACGACCATTCTCCTGCCCTACCTTCAGTCCCACTTCCAGAGGAGCCTGTGCTGCCAGCCTCTTGAGGGCTTATAATTTAAATGAAATTGCTTCGAGGCTTTCCTATTTTAGTATTTAGCTTTCTCCAATTGGCTAAGTAGTTGCACTTGCCTAACACAATGTCTCCCCAAATTGTGTTACTGTCTCTCCTCCTCTATTTTCTTTGTCTTTATTGGTTTATGTTCTGGTAGTACTTGAGGAGGGGGCAGAGCTAAATGCATATATTCAGTCTTCCATCTTTAAATAAAGTTTCACCGACATGAGTTTTTAATTGTTTACAAGGCATTTGATCACACTTCTGAAACAAATTTCTGTGTGACCTCTGAGTCCCCATTTCACCGTAATTCTTTTGTTACATTATGGGGCGAGTACGTGGAAAGCCCCTGGGTCAGTGTTTAGGACACTTGGGTTCCATTCCCACATTTGCTACAAACTCTTTAATCCTGGGCATCCTGCCTTGTCATTATTTCTGTTCCATAAGACTAAGGAATTAAAAATGATTTTAAGATCTCTTTTTACGCATAGATTTATTTCCAAGAAGTTGAGATAATTGTATGTAACTGAACACCGGAATAGGAAACAGAGTTGTGGCAGCCAGTTGAAGAAATGTGAAGTTAAGTTTCTCCTTGTATTTTTTAGTCAGTCTCAGTAATTCTGACATTTTCAAAGTCAGGTAAAATTGCAACCCACATTTCATGAACAAGAGCTGTTAAAAGGTTAAAAATTGTGGATTTTTTTTCCTCTGGGCTATTTTCAGCTGATAACAGTTCAGCTCCAAAGCACACTTGGATTCATGTTCTCAATAGCCAGATAAAATGTTAGTTTTGAACAGAAGAACAGGAAAGATAATAGAGGTCTATTTTTTCCCCTTTTGCCCTCTGGCAAGGATGGCCATCCTGGGAGCACCCATCAGGAAATGTGTCCTTCCCATCAAAGCCATGTTTGAAAAGATAATACGCCCATCTCTGTATATTTTTTTTCTCTTTTCTAAGTTGCTGCTTCTCAGCTGGATGGAAAGACAAAGTGGACATGGCATGTCACCGTGACTTTGAGTGACGAGTTTGATCAGTAACCCAGTGTGCTCAGCTGTGGTCAGTACAATGACTGAGGAGAAAATGTGGTTGTGAGATCAGTGACCCTGTGGCCTACAGACCAAAGGGCAGTGCTTCACAAATTGCCATGTACATGGGACCCAACCCCTCACCAATTACTAGCACAGAATCTCCATCAGGCAAGGTGTAGGAATCATTTTGCATAGTTCTCCTGGTTATTGTTACACATTTGATTCTTGCACTGATTCTGGGAAAACATTGCCTTGGGACAGGAAGCCAAAAAGAAAATTGGAGTCTTGAATATTTACAGAGCTCAGAAGAAAAACCCAGCAGAATGGAAACTGATCCTGGCACACCGAGTCAGCAGATGCTCTCCTATCAATCACAGAAACTGTTTCAAACTCTCACTGTCTTCCTCTATTCCACACCCTCTTGGCCTCTCAGTAGATCATTTTCTTAAATCAGAAAGGAAAGGAAACCTGCAGGGGCTACTGCCTCAACTTCTTTTATCTCCCTTCCTCCAAAAATGCATATACATTGTGTGCATGTAAATTGTATCATATATGTGTTTTTATATATATATAGAGAGAGAGAGAGAGAATATATGTATATTTTATATATAATGCATATATAAATGCATGTTTACATTCATCTTTGCTTCTCCCATCTGTCATCTTTCTGATAAATGTTAATGCCTTCACCTATGCCTCTCTCCATCAGTGATCCTCCTGTGTTTTTCTTTCACTGTTTTCCATCAACGTGTGTATGTGTATATGTGTGTGTGTGAATAGGTAATATGAATACAAGTTTCATCTTATAAAACAAGGCACAAAAAATGAACAAAAATATATCTTCCTCAACCCTACCTTATTTATTCATTTAGTAAATATGTATTAGGGTCAACTGTGTACAAAGATTCTGGCTAACTACTGAGGTTCTACAGCAAACTAAATAGGTACAGCTTCTGTCCTCATGATGCTTGTAGTCTCTTTTTAACCAGCCTTCTTTAAAAATCATTGGTCTTATTTTTTCCCATGTTATTCCATTCTTGTGTTGCTGTAAAGGAATACCTGTGACTGGGTAATTTATAAAGAAAATAAGTTTATTTTGGCTCACAGTTCTGCAGGCTATACAGGAAGTGCACTGTTGGCATCTGCTTCTAGGAGGGCCTCAGGGAGCTTACAATCATGGCGGAAGGCGAAGGGGAGGCAGCATGTCCCATAGCGAGAGCAGGAGCAAGAGAGAGAGGAGAATACCATACTCTTTTAAAACAGCCAGATCTCATGTGAACTGAGCAAGAACTCATAAGCATGGGGATGGTGCTCAGCCATTCATGAGACATCTACCCCCATGGTCCATTACCTCCCACTAGATGCTGCATCCAACATTCGGGATTACATTTCAACAGGAGATTTGAAGGAGACAAACAGCCAAACCATATCATTCCCCATTACAGAAATAACATCTGTTTGTTATCTTAAATTTGAAAGTGGTTTCCTAATGGGAAGCTATTAAAGTATTTAAAGCAGAAAAGTACTGGGTCAGAATTTTATTTTCAAAGATTGCTTTGGCTACTGAAAAGATAAGTGATTAAAAGGGGATGAAAGTTGCTGGCAGGTGGGCGGGCGGTCAGGAGGTTGGTGCAATAGTCCCAATAACAGATGCAAGGGGCTTGGCAGGATGAGATGAAGAGAGGAAGACAGTCAAGAACTCTTCAGCACCATAGGAGAGTGAATGTTTGGCTGTGGGGGATGCGGAAGGGAGGCTAGTCAAGGATGACAACCAGGTTTCTGGCTTGACCAGCCAAATAAGGGGGGTTACCATTTATGCAGACAAGAAATATTGAAGAACAGCTTTGAGTGTGTTTGTGGTTGAGAGGGAAGCATAAGTCCTGTGTGTTAATACTGAGTCTGAGATGCCTGGGACATTTCCAAGTCAAGATGTTGCATAGGCAGTTGGATATGTGAATCTGTGGCTCAGAAGAGATGGCTGAAATAGAGCAATGCATTTGGAACCTTTAGTCTACCTGTGTTAACAGTTGCCAGCAGACAAAGAGGAGCAGGGCTTGGATGGAGCCCTGAATATTTTCAGAAGTCAAGGCGCAGTCAAGGAGGAGGCACCAATGGAGGAAATCAGAGAAATGGAAGACCCTCTAAGAGAATGAAACCAAGAGGAGAGAGTCTTCAAAAGAAGTCGTGGCCAGCCGTGTCAAAGCTCATTGAGATGTCAAGTAAGGCAAAAATGTAAAATGGGCATTAGGTTTAGCAGCATGCAAGTCACTATGGACCTTAGAGCCGGCTGGTGACTGATGGGGGCTGAGTCCATGGTAGAGGAGTGCCAGCGTACTTTGACCTTATCAGTAGTAGTAAGGACTATGTTATAATGCAATAGGTGCAGTGGAAAGGCTGATTAAAGTTGTTTTAACTTTTTTGATAACCTTTTATCTTTATTGTTTTATTCTGATTACAAAGCAATATATTTTACAATGAGTCATTGTAAAAGTTCTAAACATTAGAAAGTATAACTGAGAATCATCTCCATAATTGCATTCTCTCATATATAGCCACTGTTAATAGTTTGAGGTGTATCCTTCAAGACTTTTCTGTACATGTGCTATTGCTCGCTCTCTCATACACACTTACATTACAAAAATTGGCTTTATTGCTATGTCGTTGGCCAGAGTTTGTGTTTTTGTTCTGTATATTATAGACATGTTACTCCCTAAAGTAGAAGCATACTATTCTATTGTGCTGTAGTGTTGTCTGGATATTTTAGTTTTACTTAGAAATTTTGGTGTCTCTCATAATGTTACACTCAACATCTTAACGTACTTATGCATATTTATATTTTTCCAAATGTGTACAGGAATTAAGTAGAATTTGTGAGGTCGAAGTATATGCACATTTAACATTTGATAGTGATACATTTCCTAAGGAGAGGCTTTTTACTTTTTTAAGATGGAATAAATCTGAGCATGAAAAATGTTGACAAAGGTGAAAATGAAGCGTAGGTTGAAGTCACAGTAAAAAGTGCTGAAGTCACAAGAAGTCCTGTGGGAATGGGAGTCATGGCATAGGAGGAGGCTTTGGGCTATGATCAGAAGGGATATGCCACCTCTCCCATGAGGAGGAGTGGGTAGATGGGACAGGATGGGGAAAGGCAAAGTCCTCAGTTACTGCTGTATTTCCAGAGCTTGCCCAGTGCTTACGTTTAGCAAGAGTGCCACAAACATTTATTGGTTGAAGGAATAAATATAATTTGGTTGATTCAGTTATATAATTTAATGTTTCCATGTAATAGCATCTATTTTTTCTACTCTGTCTACATAATGGGAGCTAAGATTTCCTGCTGAAACTGGTGAAGGAAGAGTTAGATTTAAAAGGCCCTTCTTACTTAGTGAACCCAGTAGGTAAAGTCAGACAGGACTCGTAGTCTAAGCATTTCTCATCTTCCTTTCCTATGAGCCTGCAGGGCCTGTTGATTCTAATACCTTAATGTCACCGGAATCCATGTATTTCTGTTTATCCCCACTACCACCATCACTGTTATTCCAGCCTGGGTTTTCCTATCACAACAACCTCTTAGATTGTCTCTCACTTCCTCTTATGCATCCATAAGGACATGGTTTAGGGGTGTCAAGGCCAAAGGAAAACTTCCCCTTTGCTTTCTGAAGGTTTGCTGAAAATCACTGACAAGAGGCAGATTAATAGGATAAAAGGCATACAAATTTATTTGATCATAGTTTTAGATGATATGGAAACCTTCAGAATGAAGACCCAAAGATACAGGGGAAATTGTCCATTTTTATGCTTAGATTCAAGAAAGTATAGACAGCCATGTAGAAACACAATTGGAAAAAAGGGTCTGATCTAATGCGAATAGACAGAATGGGGAAACCCAGCAAGGCCTGTGTGTCCAGACGCTTCTTGACCTCTCTAAGCAGCATTCCTTCTTTCTGGGTAAGACTCTCTGGAATGTGGATTTTAACCTACAGTCAAACAGTGTAGATCAGATAAGTACTTTATGGCCAGAATCTTATGGCCAGAATTTCTTTATCTCCACCTTTCTGTATAATTTTGTAAAAAATCCCTCAAAAGGAATTCTGGCTTCTAAACTCATCTTCTAGTTTCTGTGGCCAGCCTCAGGGGAGAAGGGGATTGAGAGATACGCGGGCAGGAGAAGGTCAGAGAAAAACTTTTGCTTCTAAGGCTGCTGCTAAGGCCTTTATTTTAAAAGGGGTGTTGTTTGCTGATGCCCACCAGGGGCTACCTCGTCCAACTCCCAGCCAGGCTGCTTTAGGAGTCTCTTCTTGGGCTCCCCCAGCCATTTGCAGGCATCTGTTCTCCCCAGATGGTCACTGGTATGTTTTATTTACCTAAAGCCTTCACACGTAAAATACCTTAGTGACTGTTGTCGTGTATCTAAGACCTACTGTAATGCTTAGCTCATCCTGCATGCCAAGTAAATGATAGTTATTATGTGTGAAAGTCTGATGCCTGTATAAATTTGGCGCATAAAAGGAAAGGACAAGGACAAAAGCAGGCCTCAGATGAAACCACAAAGGACCAGTAATTTAAGACATTTAATCCTGGAACAAGCCTCAGGATTATTACTCCCTAGGGAGGGGCAATCTGAGTTATATGTCATTTCTGTTATTTCTGTAATTAACATGTTAAGTGCATATTTAAGAAATTTTAAGTAGCTTGAATCTCTAAGATGATTTAGCTGTAGTCAGATAATCTGTTTATTTTGTAAGATCTCAACTAAAGAACTAAATTGTGATATTTTCTGGAGTAAAAATACTTAAATTTCCTTAGCTATGCCTGGCCACCTGGAGAATATAATCACATGATTGAAGTCCAGGTTGGGATTCTAGAAGAAATGGCCTTCACAGACCTATTAAATAAAGAGCTTCCCAATTTGAAGGCAGTGTTCCTGCCTGCCATCCATCACCATGCCCCACCCCATCTACTGAGGAGAGTAGTAGGAAGTAGTTACCAACTAGCACCTGAATATAATTTTAAGTTACAGAATCAACTATCAAAGTATAATGAAAGAAGAGACACGAGGAGTTGATTATTTGTGGAGAAAACAGCATAGATTCAAGCCCCTTATAAAAGTTACATATTCAGAGTTGAGAAATGCTGCAGTAAAAAGGCTACCGAGGCCGGGGGCGGTGGCTCACGCCTGTAATCCCAGCACTTTGGGAGGCTGAGGCAGGCGAATCACAGGTCAGGAGATCACCAACATGGTGAAACCTTGTCTCTACTAAAATACAAAAAATTAGCCAGGCGTTGTGCTACGCACCTGTAGTCCCAGCTACTCAGGAGGCTGAGGCAGGAGAATCGCTTGAACCCGGGAGGCAGAGGTTGCAGTGAGCCGAGATCGCGCCACTGCACTCCAGCCTAGCAACAGAACAAGACTCCGTCTCAAAAAAAAAAAAAAGAAAAAGAAAAAAAAAGGCTCCCAAGTAATTGTGTGGAGCACCTGCATCAATGGGATGGTCTGGAGAGGAGGTCATTGTGAGTGTTGTAGGCTGAAAGAGATCAGCACCCTGTGGCACAGGGCCAGGTGCTTCTTTCTGAGACTCCTCCTCCCCACTGGAGGTCTGAGTTTCCCTCAGATAGCTGCCTTATTCAGAGCACTTGGTGAAGTCCTTAGTTAAGATAGCCATTGCGGTTGCTACCCCTTCAGCAGTAAGAGAATGGCTGGGGCCTGATCTGGATATCCTGCTTCTGAAAAATTACCTGAGGCTACTGGGCTGTGGAAGGTTGAACAAGAAAAAGGCTTCTACTGATAGAGTTGCACTTGACTCCTTCCCTGTTTTACCTCTGAGCAGCAGCAACAGCACGATGGGCAGTGGCTGGATATGAATTTATAATTTTTTAAAGAGAGATCTCCTCGTGTTGCCTAGGCTGGACTTGCACTCCTGGGCTCAAGCAATCCTCCTGTCTCAGCCTCCTGAGTAGCTGAGACTATAGGTGACTGGGACTTGAATATGAATTTAAATAATCTTAACCGTAAAGGCATTCAGTTATATTTGGCCTAAAATAATACCCTGAACTAATAAAACATCCATCCAGAAGGAATTTTTATTGTTTCAGTCCATTATTTAACCGATGACTTAAAAAATATCCATACATTCAAGATTTAAGTAGGGGGTATGATTTAGAAATACAACAGAGAATGCAAAAAATGGAATTTAGATAGAGCTAATGTGTTTTGAGTTCTCCCCACTTTCAGTATTAGACCAAATTTACATATGGTTTTCCTTATCTTCAGTGTGACCTAACATTTAATAAACTATCATCAGCAACTTTATTTCTCAACAGCTATCTTCCTAAAGCTGTATACCCCTCTTTTAAAAATGAAAAGAACTTCAGGCAGGATTAAGCATAACATTTTTTCCCCTCTCATTTGCAATACAAGTAGCTAATGTTTGTCAAGTGTTTACTATGTGTAAGTAACCAGGCTAAACACTTCACATGCCACAACTCATTTTATCCTCAAGACAACCCTGAGGGGTAAATACTAGTCCCATTTTCCAGGTGCAGACACTGAGGGGGATAGGAAGGTTGAATGATCTAAGCTCCCGTGGTTAGGAAGTGGTAGGTCTGGGATTTGCATTCAGGTCTGTCTTACTCCAGCAGCCAGTCTTATATTAGTTATGCATTCATTTGGTCAGTCATTCAAGAGATTAATGATGGATCGCCTAACATGGCCCAGGAACTATCCTAGGTGGTTGGGATTCAGCCATGAACAAGGTGAGATCTCTACTCTTATGGAACTTACATACTTTATGCGTAATTACTAATTAAGTGCTAAAGGAAAGTACAGCAGGGCAAGCTAACAGAATGATGGCTCTTCTCTAGGGCTGCTTAAATTAGAATTTCAGGGACAACCTCTCTGAGACAGGGATATTGAACAGAGAGCTGAATAATGTGAGAGAGAATGCTACCTAAGGCCGAGTGCGCAGTGTAATATAGTGGTTAAAAGCATAACCTGTGAGCTCCGGGGTTCACATTTTGATTCCACTGCTCACTAGCTGTGTGATCTTATGCAAAATACCTAACTTCTCCATGCCTCTTCATCAGTGATATGAAGGTAACTGTTGTACTTTTCTTACCTTGCAGAACTGCTGTGAGAATGTAATGCGTTCATATATGAAAAGGACTTAGCTATAGAATAGGCACTGGAATCTATTGCACGCTCTTAAGTGTGAGCTGTATTATCCATAGAAGCCCTGTGGGAATGGTGAAAAGTAGCTGGCTCCTGGGTAGGTTTTGAAAATTTGGCGGACAGGATTTACTGAGAAATTGGATGTAGGAGAATAAGGAAAAGGAGTCAGGGATGACGTCAGTAATTTTGGTCTGGTTAATTTGGTGAATTTTGGGGCATTTACTGAAGTGGGAAAGGCAAGGTATAGCAAACCTCTTTTGAAGGGAAGACACAGTGGAGGGTAGATATGCTAAAACTGGGATGCTTCTTGATGTGTTGGTCTTCTGTTCATTGTGGAAAATTTGGAAAACGTCAAGTATTAAAATATTAAAGATCACCTGACATCCCACTACTCCTTATCCTTTTGCTTACATTTTTTTAACCCCATATAAGTCTTAGATCATATAAAACATAACAATTTTTAAAATTATATACCCTTTAGTTTATTGGAAAATGGCTTATGGCAAGGGGGAGAGTTAAAGTAGAGGTAAGATGATAAAAGCCCCAGCACCACGAGAGTCCCCTCCACCCGTCAGATGGTCGTTATGGACTGAAGCCTCAGAAGAGCTCTCCCTAAAGGACAGCAGAGCATGTAGTAGGTCTCATTCCTGCTCACCCATCTAGGTGTTAGAAAGCACCTACTGCCTGGTACAGCCTAGCCTACAACAGCTAAAGGATTATTTTTTTAAAGCTACACTTTTTTGTGTGTGGTGGTGCAATACACATAATCTAAAACTTACCATTTTAACCATTAAGTGTATAGTTCAGCACTTAAAAGCATTAAGTACATTCACATTGTTGTGCAACCATCACCACCATCCATCTCCAGAATCATTTTCATCTTGAAAAAGGTTGTTACTGAAACTACCAATTAAACAATAACTCCCCATTCCCCCTTCTCCTGGCAACCTCCATTCTACTTTCTGTCTCTGTGAATATGACTATTCTAAGTACTTCATATATGTGGAATCCTACATTCTTTGTCCTTTTGTGACTGGTTTATGTTGCTTAGCCTGATGTCCTCAAGATTAATCTATGTTGTAGTATATGTTTGAATTTTCTTCCTTTTTAAAGCTGAATAATACTCCATTATGTTTTATTACCCATTTCATCAGTCAGTGGACACTTGAATTGCTATTGTAAATGTTGCTATGAACATGGATGTCCAAATATTTGTTAGAGCTCCTACTTCTAATTCTTTTGGGTATATATTATAATACATAACTTTTTTGTTTGTTTGTTTTGTTTTGTTTGACGGAGTCTCACTCTGTCGCCCAGGCTGGAGTGCAGTGGCACTATCGCAGCTCACTGCAAGCTCCACCTCCTGGGTTCAAGCCATCCTCCTGCCTCAGCCTCCCGAGTAGCTGGGACTACAGGCGCCTGCCACCACGCCCGGCTAATTTTTGTATTTTTTTTTTAGTAGAGACAGGGTTTCACCGTGTTAGCCAGTAATATATAACATTTTATAATCTACTTTTTCACATAGAGATATATTGCTGAAATTTTCTGTCATGAATATTCTATAAATTATTTTAAATAATTGCATTATATACAGTCATATAGCTGTACCCTAATTGATTTAAGCAATCAAGTATTTCCTAGTAGAATTATAAGATCAAAGGGTATGAATTATTTTTATTTTATTATTATTATTACTTTTTTTTTTTTTTTGGACATGGTCTGACTCTGTTTCCCAGGCTCAAGTGCAGGGGTGCAATCTCAGCTCACTGCAACCTCCACCTCCCAGATTCAAGCTATTCTCCTGCCTCACCTTCCTGAGTAGCTCGGATTACAGGTGCCTGCCACCACACCTGGCTAATTTTTGTATTTTTTCAGTAGAGATGGGGTTTCACCATTTTGGTCAGGCTGATCTTGACCTCAGGTGATCCACCCGCCTTGGCCTCCCAAAGTACTGGGATTACAGGTGTGAGCCACTGTGCCCAGCCGGGTGTGAATAATTTTAAAGCTTTTGCTATACTCACCAAATTGCTACCCAAAAAGCTTATACCACCCCACACTGCCAGTGTGTTTATTCCCAGCATCTTTGCTAATATTAGATATTAATGACTATTTTCTGTTCATTTGGATAATTAAAAGTAGTATATCAATTCTGATTTTCCTTTTATCCAAATTTAGGATTTACTTTCTGAGTTAGAGTTTATTTGTAGCTGATTACTGGGGGAAATACTAATTTGGTAAATACTCAATTTGTGAGATGATTAGAGGAAATGAGACCCTATGGGGTCTTTCCCTTTTCCAGTCAATTAGTTTTTCATTTGAAGGTAATTGGCCAACCTTTTGCTCTGTGTGTATATGACAAGCAGCTGTACTGAGGTTTTGTGTAATCTGTTATTGGGTGCTGAATATATTCGTAGTTATTACAGGCTCACAATTCCTTAGAATTCAAACATCCATAAAGTGCTGAAAAAAATTTTTTTGGTAATTCCTTTGGTTATAAAACCTGACAGAGCTGAACTCATTTGATGTAGATATCTGACCTCAACCAACACAAGACCATTTACATTTTTCATTATCCTCCCCCTCAAATGAATATTTATATTATCTGGCTGCAAAATATGAATGTGTTTGGGTAAGGCATGCTGTTCCAGACTTCACTGGGGGTGCATTAGTAATAGAGACAATATATACATGTAAAATTTTTTTTTTTTTAATTCTGAAAAATTCTGAATTCTGAAACACTAGGTTTTGGCATCACAGGTTTTGGATAAGGTCATGTGAACCTATAGCGGCTTTTTTTTTCCTTTCATTTTTATGTTCTCATTCCTTCTAGGCAGCAAAAACTGGTTTTGAAATCAGGCCTACTCTGATAGGTTAAGCATGAAGTTATGACTCAAATGTACTTGGAGCTGAAAGACAATAGGAATTTAAAAGTGGTGTCTTCTTTCATCCCCAGGCCATGTGCAATCACTATAATCTGGGAACTGACAGGTCAGCGACTAGAACCAAGTTTCAGCTAAGCCACAACCAGTTGCAAACCCAGGATAATGTTGAACTGAGAGCCTGAGGGTCTTAGGAGACCTGAACCAGTTAGACTGTGAAGCAATAGTAGTAGTGTTCCAAGATGTTATTGGAACATATTTCTACAATTAATACTGTTTGCCATTTATAGAATATCAGCTGTCTAAACCAGGCTTTTAAAATACCAAATTGGCAAAATTAAATAATATTACTCTTCAGCTATCTATTTTTAATGGTAAATCTAAGTTTTTAAAAGTCTGTTTATTAAATGCTAAAAGTTGCAGAAATGAAAAAGCAGATCCACAATTTCATATGAGATGGCAAGTTGTCCAAATACCAAAACAATTCTGAAAAAGAATAAAGTCAGAGGATTCATGGGTTCTGATTTCAAAACTTAATGACAAAGCTACAGTGATCAAAATAGTGTGGTCTTGGGTACAGATAGATATATAGACTAATGGAATAGAATCAAGAGTCCAGAAATAAACCCACATGTCAATGGCCCAACTGGTTTTTGAAAAGCGTGCCAGATACACTCAATGAGGAAAGAAGAGTCTCTTCAACAAATGGTGCTGCAGCAACTGGATTTCCACATGCGAAAAGAGCAACGTTCAATCCCACCTCACATCACAGACAAAAATTAACTCAAAATGGATTAACCCACGTGCAAGAGCTAAATTCATGAAGAAAACATAAGGGAATAACTGTTGGGCATGGTGGTGCATGCCTGTAATCCCAGCTACTCAGGAGGTTGAGGCAGGAAAATCGCTTGAATCCAGGAGGCGGAGGTTGCGGTGAGCCAAGATCGCGCCATTGCACTCCAGCCTGGGCAACAAGAGTGAAACTCCGTCTCAAAAAAAAAAAAAAAAAAAAAAACACAAAGGAAAATCTTTATGACCTGGATTTGGCAGTAGATTCTTAGATATAACATCAAAAACATGAACAAAAAAAAAATTAAAAATAGATAACGGGACTTGAGAAAATTAAAAATTTTTGTGCATCAAGGGATATTAAAAAAGTGAAGGCAGCTTACAGAATGGGAGAAATATTTGGAAATCATGTATCTGATAAGTCTTTAATATCCAGAATATATAAATAACTCCTGAACACAGCAAAAAGACAGACTCAGTTGGAAAATAGGCAAAGGACTTGAGCATTTTTGATGTTTTTCCAAAAGAATATGTACAGATATCTAATAGCACAGGAGGGAATGCTCAACATCATTCACCATTAGGGAAGTGAAAATCAAAACCACAATACCACTTTACACCTACCGGGATGGCTACTATTTTTTTTTTTAATCAAATAAGAGCACACAAAATAGTAAGTGTTGGTGAGTATGTAGAGAAATTAGAACCCTCATACATTGCTGATGGGACTGTAAAATGGTGCAGGCATTGTGAAAACAATTTGGCAATTCCTTAAAAAGCAAACATAATTATCGTACGATCCACAGTTCCAAATCCTAGATATACACCCAAAAGAATTGAAAACAGGGACTCAGATACTTGTATAACAGTGCTCGTTGCAGCATTATTCACAATAGCCAAAAGGTGGAAACAACACCCGTGTCCATCCACAGATGAATGGGGTAAATACAGCGTAGTATATCTGTACAACGAAGTATTATTCTGTCATAGAAAGGAACAAAGTTCTGATATATGCTACAACTTGGATATAACTTGAAAACATTATACTAAGTGAAATAAGCCAGAAACAAAAGGACAAATATTGTATAACTCTATTTATATGAAATATATTAAATAGGCAAATTCATAGAGATAGAAAAAAGATTAGAGATAACTAGGGACTGGGGAAAAGGGGAAGGGGAAATGGGGAATTCGTGCTTAATGGTTAGAGTTTCTGGGGTGATCAGAAACATTTTGGAAATAGTGGTGATGGCTGTGCAACATTGTGAATGTAATTATTGCCACTGAATTATATATTTTAAATGGCTAAAGTGGCAAACTTTATGCTTATATATTACGTTACTGCAATAAATTTTTTTAAGATGGTAAGAGAACTAATGAATTCACAGTGAATCTGATAGGTTTGCAGTGTACATTGAGTTTTTCTATAAAAGCATTAGGTAATCCAGTTGTGTGTGAGAATCAGTAATGTGATAGTTGTTTCCAGCTCTTCCAAAGGACGCATGTTTAACTTCTAGATGTATTTTTAGAGCTGAACTGTTGGGGCAGAGGAGGCTTGTAGGAATAGGGGAAGAGTTCATAAGCAGAGCTGAAACAACACCAAACATGGAAATGTTACAAGGTGGAGAAATTGTGCTTACTGAAACTCTTCTCAGAAATATTGCTGTTTGTGGATGATAGAAATCTTCAGAGTTGTCACTTAAGGTAGAGGTAGGAGGGTAAGAAGCGTCAAGGACTCACCGAATTGTCCATTCCCCCTTTTGTTCTGCTGTGGAATGTTTTGTGCTGCTGGTAAGAACATGTTCCTATTTGGTGAGTTGCTGGAACAGTGAGCAGTGGGCAGAGTGCCGGGGAGGCTCCTTTTTTATAAATATTGTCCAAATATTTGATGAGTATTTGGTCTTGAAGGGACACTGTATTATTAGTCTGCTTTGTGTGTGTGTCACAGTATGGTGCAGTGCAATATGGTTCTGGAAATAGAAGCACTCTCTTATTATCTAAGCAATTACATTTTGAGGAATTGAAGAGCACTAGTAACTGTACTGGAGTGACAAATTTATAATTAATTTCATCATTTGTTTATTTTCTCATTTATTGAGCATCTATAATATGCAAGGTATTGTTTCAGGTTCTTGGAATATAGAGTTGAATAAGACAATGGCTTGCCCTCTAGGAGCTCATGGACTAGTGGAGAAGAAAAACAATGACCACACAGTTTTCTTGTGATAAGAAGGATCAACACCTATCTTTTCCCCAGATTTTATCTTCTATAGTGGTGGGTAGTTGTCAAAAAGTAACCATGTGATAATTTTGAATTCTGTTCAATGTGAGCTGCAAATTTTGCTTATAAAAATCACTCTTTAAAAAAAAAAACCTTTTTCCTATAACTGGATGTCCAACTGAAAAAAATACTGTATTATATTATATTTTATTTTTTTGAGACAGTCTCGCTCTGTTGCCAGGCTGGAGTGCAGTGGCATGATCTCAGCTCACTGCAAGCTCCGCCTCCCAGGTTCACACCATTCTCCTGCATCAGCCTCCTGAGTAGCTGGGACTACAGGTGCCTGCCACCATGCCTGGCTAATGTTTTTTTTTTTTTTTTTTTTTTTTTTTGTATTTTTAGTAGAGACAGGGTTTCACCGTGTTAGCCAGGATGGTCTCGATCTCCTGACCTCATGATCCACCCATCTCGGCCTCCCAAAGTGCTGGGATTACAAGCGTGAGCCACTGCGCCCGGCCAAAATACTGTATTTTAATAGCCAATAATGCAATGATTTTTTGGCTCCACCTATAATAATGTGGCAGGTTTTACTAGACATCCAAATTAGTGCTATAGGAGCATGAAGTGGAGGCAAGTAACTTAACCTGGCACATAAGCAGTGACATTGAAAGAAAAATTTGAAGAAAGAGTAACACAGGGGATATGGGAATGTGCATTCCAGGTAGGTAGAAAACACTTAAGATGAGGTTGAAAATAAGAAGGATATAATTTAGTGACTTACCAAAATATTGATAGTGAAGGAAAGAGAAAGGTCAAGAATGGCTCCCGCTTTTGGATTGGGGAATTGAACTGATGATAATACATTATTCAAGAAGGGTAGCACAGCAAAGGGGAACCTTTTGAGGAAAAGCATTTTTTACCAGAATGCGGAGAGAATATTTATTAATTTTCTAAATTGCCAAATGTATAGTACTGGACCCTGGCCATGAGTAAAAAATGTTCTTACCCTGACAAAGTTTACATCTTCATGAATAACTTTCTTTTTCCTTCTTTGTTTTAGAAGCAGTGGCTGAAGTGGTAATAATTGTAGAAATATCTTTGTTGAGAAGGGGGCCAGGTGCAGGGAGGGAGGGAAAGCTCCTGTCTTAAGATAGATGGGAAAGACAGAGAACTGTAATGAAAACTATCAATTTGAATTTGGAATTTGCATTCTAGAAATGATTAGAAGAGACTGCCACTTTTTTTGTTAATGTAAATAGTAAGTCATTGAGTTTACTTGCCAGTAACAGACTGGGTAAGAGACTGATCCATCCAGATTCAGACATTTCCTGATTGACATTTCTTTTCATTAGAAACAAGTAACCAACATTGCCCAGAACGTTGTAGTTATTCGAAAATGATTGCTGAATTAATGTTATCCCTTTCTATGCTTAAATTTATTTTAATATTTAAAAAGGAAATGAAGGACAGGGATTGTCAAGATAGAAGTCAGAAGGAAAAATTGGTGCCTAATGAGGCAAAGGATGATAAAACGTATTAAAAATTGAAGTGAAAAATTATGATAGCCAATATTTATATAGTACTTAAGAGTCTTCACGTCAGTTTCATATATATGTCAGCTTATTCTCCACAGTAACCTTCTGATGTAGGCATTATAATCTGCATTTTATTGATGAGGAAACAGACTAAGCGTTAAGTGAGGTGCCTGAGCCTCAGGGCTAAACCATGTAGCGCTCTTATGATTCAAGTCCATTGTCCTGTGTAGCAATACATAGCCATCATGCTCTTGAAAGCTACGCTTTTGGCTTTGTATTTTATGTTTTATTACTAACATTCTTTGCATTAATAATGACTGAGTGGCTCTATTTTAAAATCTCGTTGTAATATCACAAGGCCTATACTCTGCAAGCCTACAACCTCTTGCTAATATAGGAAGTAGAATTTCTCTCACCTCATTGTTCACCAAAATATGGCAAATCCTGTTAAACTGAGGCCAGAGAAAGAGATGTTGGAACCCCTTAGAACAATTATGACTACCAGAGAATGATGCAGGAGCAGCGGGGCGGGGATAGACTCAGCTGAAGTGATGTGGGGAGTGAGACTGGGCAGGCCCAGCAATCTGGAAAGCATGAAGCGACGGGAAATGGTGGGCCCTGTATGTGGCTGCTTTTACTCTCTTTTTTATTTGTTTATTTTGTTTTGTTTTTGAGACAGAGTCTTACTCGGTTGCCCAGGCTGGAGTGCAGGGGTACAGGGGCCCAATTTCGGCTCACTGCAACCTCTGCTTCCTGGGTCAAGCAATTCTCCTGCCTCAGCCTCCAGAGTAGCTAGCGTTACAGGCATGTACCACTATGGCTGGCTAATTTTTTAATTTTTAGTAGAGACGGGGTTTCACCACTTTAGCCAGGGTGGTCTCGAACTCCTTACCTCAAGTGATCCGTCCACCTGGCCTCCCAAAGTGCTGTGATTACAGGCGCTTTTTAAATTTTTTTATTTTTATTTTTATTTTTATTTTTGAAACAGAGTCTCTGTCACTCAGGAAGCTGGAGTGCAGTGGTGCGGTCTCAGCTCACTGCAACTTCAGCCTCCTGGTTCAAGTGATTCTTGTGCCTCAGCCTCCTGAGTAGCTGGGACTACAGGCATGCACCACTATGCCCAGCTAATTTTTGTATTTTTAGTAGAGATGGGGTTTCACTACATTGCCCAGGCTGGTCTTGAACTCCTGGTGTCAGGTGATCCAACCGTGTGGTTGCTTTTAAAATAATGACTGGTGAGTGCTGGCATTCAGGTCAAATATTAGATGTATGCTGAGATCCAGTTTTCAGAATGGAAAGAAGAGTTTCAGGTACAAGACAGCGTGGCAGATCTCTAGATATCGTGCCCAATCTGGATATGTGAACATGTCCTCATTCTCAAGGTGATATGGGCCATTCCTTTGACATTTCTTTAGTTGCGTACGTTGACTAGATCATAGAATTCCTGAGGTTAGATTCTGTACCCTCCTTATCTTGATATCTGTACTTACATCATCTAGCTCAATCCCTGGCACACGAATGTCTTTAACCACTTGCCAGAGTATTGTATCTGTTTACCCTGTGGAGCTTTCCCATTAGTTCTAATTGCGAATGCTATATAAATTTCACTACATTGTTTTTTTCTTTTTTTTCTTTTTTCCAAATTGTATTAGTCTGTTATATCTCTATCTGGCTATATTGAAGCAGTTATTTGCTGATTTTTAAAATTTATATACAATACTATTCTAATTTCTTCTAAACTTATATCTAACATCAGGAGTTCTTTGGATTATTCACAGCAGCTCAGGAGACAAATTAATGTATTTTAAAAGATGTGCAACTTTGGAATCAGGTTTAGATTCCCATTGTGTCACTTTGCTTGGTTAACTTCATGCAGCCAATAACCTTAATTATTCTTCATCTGTGAAAACGAGGGACAAAAATAGGATTAAATAAGATAAGACATTTAGAAGTACCAGGCACAAAATAGTAGGTACATTTCTGATTACGTGACTTCATATCATTGAGTCTGTTACATGAACTTAATTTGTATTTATATAGTGCTTTATTTTTTTTTAACAACATGCTTGTGAATTGTCATTTATATCTTTGCCCAACTTTGTGAGATAACCAGGGAAAGTAACGTTATCACTAGCATTAGATAAATAAACTTGAGAATAAGCATTGCCAAGGATCATGCAGCTAAGAAATTACAGAATCAGAACTTGAACCCAGTCAGTCCCCTCAGTCTATACCCAGTGCCCTTTGTGCCAGGCCTTGGTATACTTTTACTTGCTCTCTCTCTATATATTCACTATCTTTGATAATTTTAATGGCAACCAATCCCTGTAACAGATGAGTCATTGGACCCAACCACCTGCCATGCTAGTGCTAAGTTGGATAAATTGTTGATGCCTAATTCTGATTATCTTTATTCCTAGGGCACTACCTATTAGGTATTTGGGGTTTTAACCAAGAGTTTCCTGAGATCATTTTGTGTTTTCTCATAGATAATAGATTGTCTGAGTTATAAACTTGTAGACAATGGCTCTTTTTATTGGCCAGTTTATATAAGTCTCAAACAACTTTGCTGTATAGATTTTCTCTTTATTTTACAATTGGGACAATGGATGTTAGTTACTCCATTTCTAATTGGTAGACAAGTAATCATGTGAACTGCAGCTTTCTGTAGAGGCTTCCAGTGTTGCATTATTAATATGACTGGGCCTCTAGAAAATTCTTTTGGGCTGTTGATTTTGGACTATCAAATAAGTCAGAAGCAGTACCACCAAGGACTTTATTGCTTCAATTTCACTATACTAATTGCATTGATAAAAATTTTTAAAGTATGCTCTTTTATTTTTCACTGTGTTATATAATTAATTCTATTGAATTTAGGAAAGGTAGCTATTTAGTGGGTTTCTTTTGACCGAAATCATCAATTATTCAATGTTTACCTATAGTAATCCAATTGATAGTATTCTTACAGTACTCCATAAATCTGTCTAGTGTGGCACTTAGAAATGACACTAAAATTAACATTAATTATGTCTCTGGTTTCTTTCTTCAAGAAAACGGAACCTTGTCTGGTTCTTCTTGGCTTCCCTAGGGCCTTACCACACAGTGTGCAAAATATAAAGTAGATTTTGATGTTTGTTGAACCTGATTTTGAACTGCACTTTCATTGTGCATCCATGCGAAATCCCACTGACGTATCAAGACCAAGGTTTCTGTCATCATATTAGAATAACTATTTTTTGTTTTCTAGTCAGCCGTTTGATGAACAGATAACATAGAGGTCTCAAGTACTGTTGTTCCAAGTGCTGAAATTAAATGAACTAAACATGATGCCACTGAAGATAGTACTTTTGCTGTATAAGGCTGAGGCATAGTGACAGGACTAAAAATACATTTCAACATATTACGTTAAGAAAAACATGATTTATATAAGGAAAGAAATGAAATTAACATATTTGCCTTTTTAGAATTTTGTCTTGATTCTGCTCATTTTAATACAAACCCTCAGTCACCTTGATTTTGACTATTTTATTTTTGCTGAGAAATGAACTTTTTCAGTTGTGTTAGATTACCATAAATGAGAATATCAAACAGTAACTAGAGCCCCTCAGTAGTGGGGGTAGAATTATATTGGCCTCATAAATCATTTGCTTCCCAGCACTCTATCAGGTCATGAGAGCAAGAGCTGTGGCTTTGTTCTACCTAGATGATGTTTCAATAAAGCCATTTCTGTTTTTATTCACTCAGATTTACAGTTTTTTCTTTGTATTGACATTAACCAGTGAATCTATTAGTTTCCATTACCAGCAGACTAACTAAAACTATAAATAGTTCTAATTTCTTTCACAAATCCATTCAAGCTACATAGATACCGTTTATTGGATAGAACATCTGGGTAATCTTGTTTGTCCTGTCTTTAGGCAAAATGCATACTTTCTTAAGCTTGTCTTTTCATTTAGAAAAAAGAAAAAAATCAACTTTAGCAGCTCCGTCTGTTGACCTTAGATAACAGATAAATTGGGTATCTAATCATCTAGGAATCTAGATAAGATGCCAAGTCACTCCATCGGATTTATAATACTGGTGTAAAAAAAAAAACAAAAACCCCACAGTATTATGTTTCCTTGTTTGCTGGTTCTGCCAAAAACCAAAATATCATAAATACCATAGATATAATTTTTTTAACATCTGTCTTAATACTATAAAAAGATTAGGTCTTTTCTTCCAAATGTAAAGCAAGCTGCCCAGCACTAACTTAGAACACACTTATCATAGCCTCGCATATAAGCACATTTTAGCAAGTTTTAAAGATGGTCTGTAGGAGTGTAATTATCTTGGACAACTGTTGTACTGGAATAACCAGTTTAGTATGTTACAACTCTCTCAGTGTAACAGACTGTGTGGTGATTACTATAGCCCTCCAGGAGTTCTCAGAGGCAAGCACCTTAATTTTGGCAATGGTTGCAGCTCTTCAAGCCTTTGCTCATCTCATCTGTTTTCTGTTTCTGCTTTGGTTCACACATAGGGTGTCCTCTAATGAACTCAGTTTTTCAGAAGAGTTAGAATCACTTGATTGTACTGTCATTTCTACTGGCATTTCTTTTCAATTCATAAGTATACAAAGATGTGAGGTATTTTTTCCTCAGATTCTGTGTGAACCTAAAATTGAATCCAGGCCGGAAGCGGTGACTCACATCTGTAATCCCAGCACTTTGGGAGGCCGAGGCAGGCAGATCATGAGGTCAGGAGTTCAAGACCAGCCTGGCCAGTATGGTGAAAACGCTTCTCTACTAAAAATACAAAAAAAACTAGCCAGGTGTAGTGGCACGCCTGTAGTCCCAGCTACTTGGGAGGCTGAGGCAGGAGAATTGCTTGAACCCAGGAGGCAGAGGTTGCAGTGAGCCCAGATTGCGCTACTGCACTCCAGCCTGGGCAGTCAAGGAAGACTCCATCTCAAAAAAAAGAAAAAGAAAAAGAAAAAAAATTGAATCCAAATATTAGGAGATTTCTTAGTGAGGTGCCAAACCTAAGTATTTGGTAACTGAATTGGCTAAATTATTGGCTGATATTTTGGTTTTGTAAACAATCACATAGAGATCTCTTATGATTCTGCCCTATATGAATGTTGAGTTTTCTTCTTTTGGGTCACTGAATGTTTCTAGATCAATAGGAACCCAGCCTTCTCTTCTATAAAAGCTTTTAATGGATTAAGGGAAAACATAGTATGCATTTTTAAAAGTCACTACAAAGCCGAGATAAATCACACACAATAAAATTAAAGCATTATTTATTTCTTTCTTTTTGAGACAGAATCTTGCTCTGTCACCCAGGCTAGAGTGCAGCTGCATGATCACAGTCACTGTAGCCTCAACCTCCCAGGCTCAAGCAATCTTTCCACCTCAACCTCCTGAGTAGCTGGGAATACAGGTGCACACCATCACGCCCGGCTAATTAAAAAAGGTTTTTGTAAAGATGTCTAACCATGTTTCCCAGGCTGGTCTCAAACTCCTGGGCTTGTGCACTCCTCCCACCTTGGCCTCCAAAGTGCTAGGATTACAAGTGTGAGTTATCATGCCCAGCCAAAAATAATTTTTTATAGTTTTATACTTATTCCATACTCAAACTCTCCAGTTTTGAAAAATAAGTCCTTTATAACTGGTTTGTCCAAATTAGGATCCAGTTGAGGACCCTATATTGCTAGTGGTTATGTCCTTTAGGGCTCTTTAAATCTGATCTCCCTTTTTAATGTCATTGACTTGTTAAAGAGGCTGGACCTATTGATAAATGAGAATATTTATTTAAACTTACTTAAACATTAAATCTTTAAGCTTACTTAAATATTTAAGAATATCTCTTTACATTTATTCAGAACATTTTCTTACATAGCAAAAATTCTATTCAAATTTTTGCAAGTTAAAAATAAAAAAGTTCTTTGCATCTCATTTGTTTAAACCAGGATCCAATCCAGAACCACATGCTGCAAATGATTGTTTTGTTAACTTGGAACAATTCGTTTTATTCATGTCAGTAACTTGTTGACAAGATGAAACTATAGCGTCTTACAGAATGACCTACCTTCTTGATTTGGTTTCTCTATCCCTCTAACATGGCACTTGTCCAATATGGTAGCCACTAGTCACAAATGGCTATTGAGCTTTTGAAATGTGGCTAGTCTGAACTGAGATGCACTGTGAGTATAAAATATACACTGGATTGCTAAGACTTAACACAAAAGAGGTAAAATATTTCATAAATAGTTTTTACACTGATTACATGTTCAAATGATAATTAGGGTAGTATGGGTTAAATAAATTATGTTATTAAAATTAATTTCACCTGTTTCTTTTTTTTTAAAAACGTCTCTACTAGTAAATTCTATCTGGCTCCCATTATATTTCTATCAGATTTAAAATAGCCAGGCATGGTAGCTCATTCCTGTAATCTCAGCACGTTGGGAGGCTGAGACAGGAGAATCGCTTGAGGCTAGGAGTTTGAGACTGATTAGCCTGGGCAATATAGGGATACCCCTGTCTCTACAAAAGAAAAAAAAATGTTTTTTAATGTTTTTTAATTAGTCAGGCATGGTAATATACACCTGTGGTCTCAGCTACTTGGGAGACTGAGGTGGGAGGATCACTTGAGCCCAGGAGGTCGAGGCTGCAGTGAGCTGTGATCGTGCCACTGCACTCCAGCCTGGGTGACAGAGTGAGACCTTGTCTCAAAAAAAAAAAAAAAAGAAAAAGAAGATTGCTACCCACAAAGGGACTTCACAGCAGTACCCTGTAATAGAAAACAGAACATCAGTAAAGTGTTTCTTAGTTAGACTTTTGTAACATTTGCTTGCTGTGTACCAGTTAAATGATTTTCAGTGGTAGACCTTGCCTAGAGAATTTTAAGACCTAGTGTTCTACAACCCTGGCATCGTCTGGTAGATCCAATAGATGAAACAGCTGCTACATATTTTTTAATATATCTGATAGCTGAAAGGGTTAAATAATATAAACCTGTCAATGTGCTACCAATGTTAATAACCCGGTGCTGCTGATTTAAAAGTACAGAACTACGTGAGCCAGTGCAGGTTCATGCTTCATTTGTTTATATATTCATTCGTTTTTAGTGTTGGAAAACCTTGGACAGACAATTGTCCCCGATTTGGGATCACTGGAAAGTCAGCATGATTTTCGAACCCCGGAGTTTGTGAGTACTATTCCTTTATCTTAAATTTGTATTCTTAAGCTAAGAGATTTTTCACAAAATGAGAAAAAAGTTCTTTTATGAATTCATTCCTTCAATGGCTGTAGATCCTACATAGATCTTATTGCAGGGACTGTGCGTTCAGAGCTCTGGTGTCTCTTGGGAATAGGTTGCTGAACTTGATTGTGTAAGCATCATGGTCTATAGGTTTGTTCTTCATATTGTTCATGTAATTGCAAATGGGAGTTCACTTTGTAATAAAATAGCATCTTGTTTCTGAAACTCCTGTTCCATTCATTGATACCATTGCTGTCAGTATCTGTTGTTAGTAACTCTGGAAAGCAGTCTTTAAGCATATACAGGTATATTGACCAGTGCCAGTCACTGGTAGCGAACATAGTCTACTTTCCCTTTCATCCTGGAGCTTTCAGTGATACAACCTACATGTATCTTGTAGGGCTAGGAATATTCTGTTGGTTGTTTCTACCAGAAGGGAACTAAATGCTCCCATTAAATTGGACTCATTAAAGATTAGCCATGGTTCCTACCCTTAAGGAATTAAAAATCTTATTAGAAGCTACTATGATTTTATTAATGCCTTTTTTAAAGAAAATTAAGCACATAGGATGCCTTGTGCAAAATATCCTTAGTAAATAGATTTTTACATTAGGCTCATTTGGAGGGCGGGGATGGGAACAAGTGTTTCTGTGACTCATGTACCATATTATTGCACCAGATATGTAGGAAAAACATGCCAGGATCCACTTACATTTCCTGATTTTTGTCCCTGCTGCAAATGGCCTACCACTTTAGGAGTGCAGAAATGTTTTTTTATTTATTTTCAATGTGATATACAATCACCACTCCAGTAATTGGCAGAGCACAATTGTATTATTGGTAAAGACCAAAAAAACCTCATTATGTGCTTTTTCTGTTCTTGCTCACTCTTTATGGATTGCCTAGTCAATTCAACCAAGAGTAAAGAAACTAGAGAGTGCTCTGGACTGAAAAGGGATGGCACATAAAACTGTATCCACAATGCCATTTTATTTCAAAGTGTGGGACTCCTGTGGTGTACTAGCAGATTGCCTACTGTGAAAATCACCTGGATATAATAGAAAGACGTAGTATTCAATGACTTCCCTATTATATTCAATAAGATTTCTGGTAAAGGGAAATTGTGCATGCCCACCAATATTCCTGCATCTTAAAGTAGCAGAGCAATTTTGTGGGTTTTCTAACTTTTGCAGTTAGAGACCAAAAGCAGAATTGACACAGATATTTCACATTTGAGTATGATACTGGTAGACACTCATGAAGCTGCCTCTTTTTTTTGTTGTTTTATTTTTGGCTCCTTTTGTTGATACTTTTCAAGCAACATATCTAATCTAAAAAGAACTGTGTGCAACAAGGTGTTGGTGCGCCTGGTAAACCTATACATAGTTCGCACCAATTCCCTATGTGAAAATAAAAGTATTTTCCTCAAGAACAGCCTTGAGTGTATTGCGATGTTGCAGACTGGCAAGTCTCGGCAGTTTGTTGCCACAGATAAGGCAGATACACTGATAATCTTCCTCCACCTTCAGCATTAACTTCTTGAGTACCACATTTTCCTTTTCAAAGTGGAAGAAGACAGCTAGTCTAAGCTAGAATGCCCAGGGGTGGAACTCCGGGCTCACAGAATACATTTACCTTATTGAAAGACTTGTTTTCACAGTGAATCTGAGAACACCCAAGCTGGAAGGAGATTCTTGGGCTAAATCCCCACTTTTTTATTTTTCAGTCTCACGCTTACAGAATTATTGAGAGTCATATTGTTAGACTGCATTGATGGCATTGAAAACTGTTAATCACAATATCCCTGTATGTGTGGTTGATAACAGATTTCTGTATCCTGGCTATTATCTTTCTCTAGTTATGGGTTCATAACATGTTCGGGAGAGAATCTGGGATTTTCTTGTGCTTCGTAGATTTTCACACATCTGATGCTCATTAAGGTCACTTCTTTGTGTAACATGTAAATAGCTGCTGTGTTTTCTCCTTAGCATCAGCTTAGCCAGTGTACTCCCAGTTCCACAGTAAACATAAACTGCTGTCTCCATGGTAAACAAACAGAAGGTGTAGAAGTGGTGCCTTGAGAACAGGGTGCCCAGAGGAATCAAGCATTATATTTAAGCTCAGCTCTTTTTGTAGGCAGAAGCTTACAGCGTCAGTGAAAATGGGTGGCTCCCATTGTATAGGCAGGCAAATGCCAGGACAAAATCAGGTAAGTTGATTCAAGCCACATTTTAAAATCAGAAATGAGTGTCACAGTACAAACCTGAGAGCAGAAAGAACCCAAAGGCAAAGCAAAATTGAAGAAAGAAGACTGAAAAGAGGAATAAAAGGAGGTGAAAAATCAATATTCTGTTTTTCTCCATCTGGCATTTTGGAAGGTCCAACTGCAGTTTGTGGAGTTGAACCGAAATAAAGCAAAGCCTAGTTCATGTTTACTCGGGCCTTATCCTCAAATAGTTCAGATTTTAGAAGGATCAAGAGCCTAGTGTTTTTATACAATGGGGTGTATTTATAGAGTTTGGCTAACAGGGAAACTAAAATGCTTATCATTATTAGTTCATTTCCTTCAGAATTTCTGTTTTTCTTTCCTTTGAAACGAGACCTAAGAGAACATTGCCAGTTGAATAGTCTTGGCCGCTGGCATCATAAGCACATTCAAGTTTTCCTTCACAGCTGAGGTGTCTCTAATGTGACTAGTTAGGTAAAGCCAGCACTGCTGTATAGTGTGCATATATCACAGTGAAATAAATGCTGCTGTGAACCTCCCAAGTGGCCTGGAGACCACAGCCTACCTTGCTCTTGGCAGCATCCCCAGTGGCTTCTTCTCTCACTTGCTGCGGAGTTTGTCCATTGATTACATGTCACCTGCATATCTGTGTTGCTCTTCTCCAGCTCCTGCCCCACTTTGCAGACTGAGGCAGATAAGTTTAGCTAAACTATGCAAAAATGGTAAGTGGTGAATAGAGATGTGAACATAAGGTGCATGTGTTCTTGCTACCCCAAAGCTTAGGAGCTGGGAATGTGTTGAAACTAGAAACTGTGACATAGACACACTCCAAAGTAAGATGGGTGTGTGGGTAAGAGTCCAGGTGAAAGGGACCCGGCAAATACTGGCATTAGAAAGTAACTTGATGATCTTGCTGTGGTGGAAAACTGTCCCAATCCTGGTTCAGTTTTTTGTTTAAGCACAATGAAATCTGTTTTATAACTCGTTTCATTAACATTTTATCTTGAACGTTTTCCCACACTGTTTTGTTTTCTCCAACATTGTTATTGTCTCTGACATTATTTGTTGAATATATTGATAAGCATAACTAATCCATTGTTACTTTGAAAGCAGTTAGTTCAAGGAGGATGTAGTCAGGAAAATGGTGGCATAGCCAGATGTTCTGGAACTATGTGAATGGTGACTATCATTTGGGGACATGGATGAAAATAGATTAGGTGCATGATGACTCTGGGGAAGGGAATCAGTTAAAGTGAGGCTGGGAACTGAGGACCAGAGACTCAGATAACCTTGTAGAGTTCCGTCTTAAAAGTAGAGACTTCAGAAATAGGCCATGTGATTGAAACTGAGGATGGGGAGGCGTCCACATGGTGATGGAGCAGATAAATGTTGTTCTGCATGTGGTTGCATGCAGGATATCCCACACTTCCCTTAGTTTGCCCAATCCCAGGTCTGGTTAAGAGCAAAGGAGATCTAAGGGGCAGTCATGGCGGGCCCATTAGACCCCAGGTTGATTCCAAGCCCCAAGGAGTTGAAAAAAAAATAACTGGAGGTGCAGGGGGAGCAGTAATGGTCAAGGCTATTTCTAGAAACTCTGACTCTGTTGACATTGACCCAGGAACTCAGATGGGCCAGTTGCCTGAGTACACATGAGCTGAGGGATGGGGTGTGGGAAAGGATTCTGATCTAGCAGTAGTGAATCTGCTTGCAGCAAGCTGGAAGATACTGCCATGGATAGAAATCAGGCTGTGGTCAACATGAAAACACAAGGAAAGAGAAGGCCAAGGAATTACGTTTTATGATCTGAGACTGACATTTTCCAGCCTTTCTAGAACTCGAGGTTATATATAACCCTACTGACTTTTGAGAAGCTGGAAGATTCTTCTTGCCTCTGATCTCATGCCAACCGAGGATGTTTTTCATTGCTTAGTCTCTACGAAATTTGGAATAAATAATAAGAAAGAATTTGGGATGGCAAAAGAGTATTAGGTTTATAATAGGATAAATCAGGGAAGATGATGAGAAACCATAGGATTTAGAAAGGCTAAATAGAAAAATAGGCTCAGGAAGATGAAGATTAAAGGAGAACAAATATATGTCCCATTAATTAAGTGTCACAGATACACAGAGAAGGAAGTCTGAAGAGTAATTATCCCCCTGAGATTTTGTGTAACTGACTCCCTTTTTGAAGGAAGATACTACTTTATAGAAAAATATTTTTGATTCCCTGAAATTCAATTTTTGATTATCTTCAACCATATGAAAACACATGTGATCCCAAGGAAGAGTTAAAATATTAATTTACTAAAATATTCATTCGATATCTACTATTTTAGGTGAAGAAACAGGAAAAAAAAAATCCCTGCACTTGTGAAGCTAACATTTTGATGGGGGAGACATAAAACACAAACGTCAGATAATCCTGTAGAGAAAAAGTAGGGATTATTTGTGTGTATGTGTTGGGGGGGTGGTGACAGTTTTAAATAGGGTGTTTAGGGAATATCTCACTGAGAAGTTCCAAGTGAAAAAACCTCAAGGTGCTGCTGGAGCAAGTTCTTTGGAAATCTGGAGGAAGAGCATTCCCAGCAGAAGGAGTAGCATAAACAGGTTTCGAGGTAGGTGAGTTTGTTAGATACATTTAAGGAAATGGAAGACCACTGTGGCTGGAGTAGAATGAAAGATCGAGAGAATAATAGATATGAGGACTTCATAGGCCATTGTAAAGACTTTGGTTTTACTCTGAGTTGGGAAGTCATTTGAGGGTGAGCCTTTGGAGGGTAAACTGGCAGATTTTGAGCAGAGGAGCAACCTGAACTGCCCTGTTTTCATAGGATCCCTTGGGCTGTCCTGAGAATAGATTATGGAGGAGCAGAGCAGGGGCAGAGAGACCTATTAGACTTTCTCAGGAATCCAAATGAGAGATGGTGGTGGGTTGGTCCTGAGTGTTAGTTATGGTGATAGAGAGACATACTCAAATTCTGAATACATTCTGAGGGTAGAAGCAATAGAATTTGTTGACAGATCAAATGTGAGCTGTGCGAGAAAGAGCAGTCAAGGAATGACTCTAAGTTTTTGACCCAGAAGTCTGTGGAAGGAGCAGTTTGGGGAGAGGATATGCAGGAGAAAAATCAAAATTCTGTTTTGGATATGTAAAGTTTGAGACATTCAGGTGGAGAAGTCAGTATGCAGTGGGATATGTGAACCTGGAGTAAGAGTTAAAGAGGGGGGCCCAACCCCCGATGTGAGAGTTGTCAGCACACAGGTGATGTTTAAAGCCATGGGACGAAATGAGAGCAGCAAGGAAAGGAGTGAGATAGAATAGAGAGGAGATGCTGGACTGAGCCCGGGGGCACCAGTGTTTACAGGTCACGGAGATGAGGAAAAATCAGCAGGACAAGCTGAGCCAGGAGGAGCCAGTGAGGTGGGAGGAAAGTGAAGAGTCTTGGAAGCCAAGTGAAGAAAGTATAAAGTAGGAAGGAATGACCACATTCTGATGATGGAGAATTGACCATTGTATTTAACAATAGGGAAAAGACCATGACAGGAGGGGTTTGGGTTGAGTGGTAGAATCCAAACCTTATTAGAAAGGATTCAAAACAGAATGGAAGAAGAGGAACTGGATACAGAGAATTTAGGTAACACTTCCGTGTGTGTGTCTGTGTGTGTGTGTGTAATTTTTTTTTTTTTTTTTTTTTTTTGCCAAGCAAGAACACAGAGAAAAGGGGTAGTACCCGGAAGGGTGATTACCGTGAAGAGAGTTTTAAGATGGCAGGAATTACTGTTTGTCAGGTAGTGGGAGCAGTTCAGTAGGGAGAGAAAATCTGATGATGCAAGAGTGAGAGGGAAGGATTACTGGAATAATGTCCCTGAGAGGGCAAGAAGGGAATCCCGTCTATAAGTGGAGGGATTGGCCATAGCTGTAGGGACTGTTCCTTCTTAGAAGTAAGAGGGAAGCCAGCATATTGGGACACAGATGAAATTAGTTCAGTAGATTTGATAGGAGATTGCGGAAGCTTTTTCTTGATTGGTTTTCATTCACCAGTGAAATGGAAAGCAAGGCATTAGCTAAGATTGAAGAGGGAAATGGGATCCGAAGTGAGGAGAAAGGGGTGAGACACTCATCTGGAAGAGTGGGAAAGTGAATGCACAGGGGAAATGGAATGTCATTGCTGGCAGCAATGAGAGCCTACTCAATGGTAGTGGTCATGGTCAGGGTTGGGTGGTTGTGTGTTTTTCCCATTCAAATCCAGCTTGAGGGGAGCAAGTGTAGAATAGGCAGAGTTTGATTTAACCAATTTGGAGAGTGAGAGAGTAGGCTAACTAGAGCAACCTGGAAAAAGTTTTAGGATTTCTGGGCTGTGGCCAGGGCCTGTGTGGGGCTGATGATCCTGAATTTATAGTCCTACCACACTGCCCTGCTGTGTGGCTTTCTCCAGCATCATTCAGACAGCAAGAAAGCAGATAGCAGCCCTCAGCCAGAGTTGGGGCTTTGTAGATGGACATTATGGAGAGTACAATATTGGCAAGATGTCACTGAAACAGTGTGCTCTGGAATGTGGCCCTAAAGATGGAAGGAAGGGAAGAAAGAAGAGGGTTGGCAGATTGATTAGAAAAAGTCGAGGGGCCCCTGGGGTCTTGTGAAATGAGTAGGTAATGTAGTTGTGGTCAGAAAGAGGGATTCTTAAATAAGTTCTTTTTGAATATTTCTTAAATAAATGCTTCTTGAATTTTTCAGGATGGCAAGGGCTGGGGTGGGACTATGGCATTAGTGCATGAAAGGGAGAAGGTGATTGGCAGTAAGAAGTGAGGCTACTGAGAGGCCAGAATGCATTGGTCATGTCATGTCTCTGGATGCATAGGTCCTGGTCTGATGAAGGACACACATTGGAGAGGAACATGTGAGCCCAGAATCAGAATTTCAGTGAACCAGGAGCAGCAGCTGGGAATTTGGAAATTATAGACTTTAGGAAGCTTTGGGGTTGTATTCTATTCACATGGACCTGAAATGAATTTTCTTCCAAGAACATTGAGGAGTAATGGTCTGGAAGTGGCACTTGGGAAAAGAACATTAATCTTACTTCCTTGCCCTGAGGTGTGAAAGGTATGAGAGAATCAGAGCCAGCTACCCACAGGTCTACAAATTTTTACTTGCAGGTTTTGTCTCAAAGTGGGTTCAAGGATCTATTTTCACCTTTTTTTTTTTTCCCTGAGTAGTCCAGACTTTGTTTTGGTTATTTCTGAAGCAACTGAATTGGTGTTAGGGCTATTGAAAAATATTTTGGTCTATTTTATGGTCAATCCAAGACCTTTCTTGGCTAATCCCAGAAACCCAACTAAACTCTCAAGGTCTGCCCACAGACTTCCAGATCTTCAGGATCAGAAAGTCTGAGAATAAGGCAGTACCCTCTTGGTTAAGCATTTTTTCACTTGGACTTACAAAGAAATATGATGACTTTGCCTTGTGTCTTTGGCCTTAAGCTTGCCAAACTAAAAAAGAAACTCAACCAAAAAAGAAAACCAAACAAAGGAACATTAATTTGGCAAAAGGACTCTGAAAAGGGGGAAATGAGATCAGAGAGAAACTGGCTAGTAAGAATTGCTAAATTGGCCCATTTGCTGTGGTAGGAATTCACATGGCATCTCAAGGCTGAAAGCTTTTTGTGCATTCAAGAACCGAAGGTGATGGAATGTGCATTTTTGTCTGAATATGGAGGAATATTTATTTGCTGTATGTGGCTGAGTCAAAAGCTAAATTTATGGATTTGTTAGGATTGGGGAGTATGAGCAAAAGTGCAGCAGTTTAACATGTGAAGATGTCATTTAGAAATTTTTTGGAATACAGAATGTTATTTTCCCAGAGAAACAGTCATAAATGGTGATTAAGTTGCTGGGCCCAGCCAGACAAGACCTGCTAAAGCCAATTTAACTCAGAAGGCTAACAAATGATCATTCTGTACTAATAGTCCTCTTGAACACTCTAATCTTATTTTTTCCATTCTTAGCCTAAAAATGTGAGTGTAAAATGAAAGTCCTGAGTAAGTGAGTCAAGGCTTGTGAAAAAATGCTTAGCATGATCAGAGAGATTGATTGATTTTTGAGTTATGTGAGATGATGAAGAAGCAGTGGTCAGCCCACAGTTTAAGGAAGTCAGTTTAACTGTATGAGATGAATGAGAAAACAGCTTACTAGCTTCTATATTACTTTTGTCTTTTCTGTTAGTGAAAGTGAACTTTAGATTGATAATGGTTAAAGGTCTGGTGAAGTCTACAGAAGCTCATGCTGCCCAAGAATATTTTAGAAAGGAGTATAATTGTTCCAAATGAGTTAACCAGGGTATTAAAAGAGCTTGTAGATTTGCTTTGGGAAGTGCAGCCGGTCATCTCAAGGTGATACAGGGACTGGGACAGCTGCCAGAATCTAGTGGGGCAAATGTGACAGTTCTCAAAAAGGGGTGAAGTTAGGGTAGAAGTTGGGCATAGGCTAAATTCCCATAAATGGAGACACTGGAGCTGAAGCACTAATCTCCATATTCCAGAATGAGATGTTTAAGCAGATGGTTTGTGAATATTAGAAAAAAGGTCATTAGGAGCCAACATGATGAGTTCAATAAAATAAGTCATCCCAAACTGAATACATTACTTTTTTTTCAATGGAGGTTGTTAGATTGACAGAATAGGAGAGGGCCACAGACATTTTTGGTGTTTTGATTTTAGCAAGATGTGTGGGGAAAAAATGTATTTAAATACAAAATGAAGAAATGTGTGCCTGGTGACAGCATGCTTATCTGGGCAGTTATTCTTAAAACTGTGGAATAATGGATGAAAATCAATCTCTAGAGGAGACAAAAATCAATATGAATTAAAGTAAATTCCTGCCCCTAATTCATAAATATCAGCTGTTTAAGTAAATAGCCTAAGAGCAGAGAGTAATGATGGATCACATGAAATGGCTGGGTATTTGGTTAACGAAGCTCCGTGTGAATTGAGCATGTGATAACAATGTCAAAAGGTTAATGAAAATCTAGGTCGCATTTGTACCTGTGTCCAGAATAAAGGAAATACTAGGCTTTTCCTGCTCAGTATTGGTAAAGCTGCCTCTCATTCTGAGTGCTGACTTTAAAAGGGGAGCATATTGAGAGGGAATGATCAGCATGGTAGAAGATCCCGATATTTAGGCAAGAACATGACAGCAAGATTTAAATATTTGTCAAGAGTAATTGGTGGATGGCATTGCAAAATGTAGCATTAAGACCCATGAATAGAAGGTATATATGAGCAACTAGATTTCATTTCAGTAGAAAGATTTTGTCATAATTAAAATACCTCACACCTTGGAGGAGATGAAATACAGATGAAATGGATAACAATCTAGCATGGAGATAATGAATGCTTGAACCAGGCCATGTCAGTGGGACATGACAATTGGCAATTTCTAATTGATTAACTTGGTAACTGATAGAAAGTGGGGAATGAGGGAAAAGAGGTTTCTGTGACATCTCACCCTATTGAGTTTTATGCAGTTCATTGATGTATTTGCATTGCTCCATTTTATGTTTTTTTCCTCATTTAACATATTATTAGCAGCCAAATGATGTAATTGATTAAAACCCTTTCTCCATATAACAGTGTTCATTCTACCTGGTTTTATTCCACTATTTCCAGAAATCCTTTGCTGTAAAATGTCTCATGAATTCCCACCCCACAAAGTATCACATTTGAAATTCAGCAAGCTATTTGTTATCTGGGGAATGTCAAAATTAATTTGACAAAAACATGGGTGAGGAAAGCAGGGAGCCCTGGACATTCTGAACAAAGATGTGATATCAGTATTTACCATGGAACTCATTTGATTATAAGTCATCTAGAAGCATAATCACAATAATGGCCAGGAAAGCCACAGAAGCAAAATAATTGAGTTAAAGTTGAGAGTTTGCTGGCAAATAACCTCATCGTATCATGACCTAAAAAGCAGCATGGATGTAAAATGTTGTAATAAAAATTTAAAGAGAAAGACAGAACTTGGTGGGCATGTACACACAATGTGAATTCACAAGATTCCCAGAAAATTGAAAAGGAGAGACCAGTGGGATTTCAGCTTCTGCCATCCCTCCTGTATTTTGAACTCTTAATTAATTTGGAAGGCTGAAGGGCTTTGGAAAGATGATTTGAAATCTTTTTATTTCTGAGGTCCCATTAGTTAACTGTAGTTTTCCTTATTTTAACAAATAATAATAAAAAGTACATCTTTACTATAAGTCTCAAATGTATTCCTCAAGTATGTCTCTAGTAAGAAACTATAAATATGCTTTTACCCAGAAAACTCTTAATGGCTTCTTCAAAAGGAAAAAGTGTTTACAGCTCCTTCTCCCAAGTCACTCTTTGAAATGTAGAATAATGTGACCTGACAGATTATAATAACTACCAAACAGCATCTCCATTAATTGTAATGGGCAAACCAATAATATGGATCTTTATGATGTTAACATGTATTATAATATATCAAGTCAAGACCATACTTGTAGCTGGAATAAAATTTGATTGCAAATTTGTGTGTTTTGTAAAATGCAGGATGTGTGGAAAAATTGTAGATTTTTTCCTGACTTCCTTAAAATAAAAACAAATAATGAAAATTTTGACAGGTCATTCAGTGATGCTAATGGTATCACTACCATGTCATGTACTTTCATCTACCTTAAGTGTTTTTAAAAAGCAAATATACCATCTGTGAGATATGAAGGAAGAAGATTAAAAAGAGGTGAATTAGATGAGGTACTTCTGAGACTTTGGAAGTGTTTTTACTTATTTTTAATTTTCCTTTTTTGTAGGTGAAAGCTATTCTGAAGGTTGCCCTAGGAAGTTGAACATAAGATGGACTCCAGGGAATTAGAAACCCTGTTTTTCCATGCAACCCTGCTCTCAGACCTCTGTGGACAAGTCGCTTTTCCTTTTAGAACCTCAGTTTCCTCATATGTAAAAAGCAGAAAGATCAGCAGTAGATATCCTCACTGGAGTGTTGTTCAGTGACTGCACGGTGACTGAGAAACATTTTAGCTATCTTAAAATGATGTTCATAATAATATAGTGAATAGTCTTATCTAACATTTATGGATGCTTGTGGTTGGCTAAGCACATTACAGGGAAAGGGCTGCCTAGGATTGAAATGGCCACAGCCCTACATTACTCAGCCCTGCCATACCCCGTATCATTCCCTTTCAAATGAAATCAGAGTGTGTTGGTATCAGGAATTAGTTCTGTTCTTCTTAGAAGAGCAGGCAAGAGCTTTGATGACTTGTGTGCCTGAGAAAGTACAGTTACAGACACTTAAGTACCTACCAAATTATCAAGAGGTTGAGAGTTAATCATACCCAGCAATATTATAAAATACCAACAGCACAACCTATCAATAAATAAATATGTTGAGCACTTACACGTGCTAATGTAATTTTCAATGAACTAGAAATAGGCTATTTAAGTTATGTACTATTTTGAGTAAGCGACTATTAGCTTCACTAAATTTTGGAGTAAAATTTTCATTAAATATTTATTAATCAGTATGCTTAGAGAAATACAAAGCAGTCTATCTCAACTTTACCCACAGGGCCAAGAGTGGGCATACTGTTCACCTCAGGCTCCTGCATCATCTTATTGTCTGACAGTGTTAGTCGTGCAGTTGACGCTGGTTGGTTGGTTGATTGAATGAAAGACTATAAGGCAGTGTGTACTGTTTAATGAGTTCTGTTAGGCACTTAGGAAGTGCTAGAGGAGTTCAGTTAGGGTTGTAGTTCTCGCCCTGGCTGTGCATCAGAATTACCTAGAGTGTGCTTTTGAAATATGAAGGCCCAAGCTCCACTTTCATGTGCTTATCTTGGTCTTAGTAGAACCTAAGTGTGTTTATATAACATTTAAAAGATGACCATAATGTACACCCAGGTTTAAGAATCATTGCCTTAGAAAAATCAGGTTTGGGCTGGAGGCCTATAATCCTAGCATTTTGGGAGGCCAAGACAAGAGAATTGCTTGAGCTCAGGAGTTCAAAACCAGCCTGGGCAACATAATGAGACCTTATCTCTACAAAAAAAAAATTATATATATATTATATATACACACACACACACACACATATATACATATATACACATATGTGTATATATCTACCAAATATATATATACACATATATGTGTACATATACATATATGTGTATATCTATATAAAATCAGGTTTGTATTTTTGAAGGAAATGGTATATAGCTCAACCTTGAAGACTACATTTTGGGAGGTACTGAAATCTGTGCCAGAATCTATATATTGATATAATCAGGATTTTACCAGGTCTTTTGACTGACGTCTGGAGAATGCCCACACAGAAATGGAGAGTAATCTCCTTTACTTGAAAGTCACCTGATTGTGGATGTTAACCACATCTACAAAATACCTTTACAGCAACACCTTGATTAGTATTTGACTGCATAATAAATGAGTACCATAGCCTAGCCAAGCTGATATCTAACTATCACAGTGGATGTATTACAGGAGGGTGCCCAAATAGCATTACATGAACATATCAGTGAAGGTGGAAATGAGTGGGTGTGCCCAGTTTGCATTGAGCCTAGAGTTGATCTTGGGAAGTGGGAGGAGAGGATGTTGGAAAGATAATGTGGAATGTAGAAATGTTGGACTAAAGAGTTTGGGCTTTTGAGCAGAAGAGAGAAAGCAATGCTGTAGCAGTGCTGTCCAACAGAACTTTTTCTCATGGTGGAAATGTTCTGCCTCTGTGCTAACACGATAGCCACTGACCACACATGGGTATGGAGACAACTTGTGATGCAGCTATTGAGGCCAAAGAACTGAATTTTTAATTAATTCTTATTCATGTAATTTCAATAGCCATGTGTGGCTCATGGCTACTGTGTGGGAAAGCACCACTGTAGAGGGAGTATTCTGGTGGGAGGATGCATGAGGAACTGGGGGAGAAGCAACGTGCAGACAGTCCAGTTAGGAGATGACCATAATAGTCCCAGTGGGGACTGGGCAGAAGCAGGGAATATGGAAAGGAGAGTTGGGGGTGAGGGAGAAGCGAATCAAAGATAGTCTTACATTGACCATTTCTCTTTCTGGCCACTCCCGTTTCACTTCCTGCCCTATGTCACCCAAGCACTTCCTATCCGTTAGATTCCTCAGAGCTGAGCCCCACTCATCTTTTCTCACTTACTCACTCTCCTCCTCACACTCACTTCCTCAGCTTCCATGATGAGCTCTGTGTTGACAACTCCCAAGTTTATCCTTTTCTTAAATCTTTTCTCTCAGCCCTGCATGCTGATACTGCCACATAGAAACCTCAGGGACTTAGTCTTTTCCTCCTAATCTTTTTTCTCTTCCAGTTCTCTGAATGTTGATAAATGTAATCATCATCCTCTCAGCCGCTCAAGCCAGAAACCTCAGGATCTTTGACACCCTGTTGATAACTGAGGCTCTCTCACCCCCGTCCAGTTAATCACCAGGGTCTGCTGATTCTAGGTATAAATTATAGCTTCAATCTGTCCCTTACTTCTCATCTCCATTGCTAACCTCCTCAGGTAGGCTCCACCTTTCTTCCCTGGACTCATAGTCTTCCCATTACCACTTTTGCCACACACTGAGCTGTTCTCTAAATAATTCCTTTAAAAATAAAAATCAGATTTATTTATTTCTTCTGTGAGGTGTAATGGAATTTTCCCGGTAATTTATCTGCCACATTACAGAATGTCACAGGATAAAGGGTTAATTAATTTCAGTTAATTTATTTAATAATATTTGTCCATTTAATGTTTCCATAGCCCTGTTGAGCAGGTACTGTTGGGAAATATCACTAAAAAGATGGCACAGTCTATATCCCTTTGAGGCATATATTCCAATGAGAAAGACAGACATTAATCAAATAATTACACAAATAACTCAACAATTAAAGTTGTGAGAAGTGACATTTAAGGAGAAGTATAAGGTGTGCTGTGAGCATATAAGGAGTAAACCTCAGCTAGCTGCGGGACCAGGGAATATCTCCATGAAGAGGAAACGGAGCAAAGGAGATTCTAGGAAGAGGGAACTGCATGTGCAAAGATAGGAGGGAAATACTTTTCTTCAATGGAATACAATTTAAAATGTTAATAGAATATAGAAACTGACAACTGCATTTAGATGGAATGGAGTCTTGAATTTTCTGGAAACGACTTAGTCTATTGCCACCTAATTATGAAACTTGAATAAAATGGTTATATTAAATACTTGGACATGTTACCTCAAGTCAATTCAATAATCTGTTGGCTCACTTTCTTAGGTGTTATAGATTAAAAGTAAGTATTTTTTCCTTCAGTATTATATTCCAATTAAGATGATACTATATGTACATAAAAATATATGACATATATATGTATTATACTATTATAACATATGATGTAAAATTAAGAGCCAAAATGGTATAAAAAAGCAGTTCTAAATTTTTAATATTCTTACACTTCACACTCTAAATAGAAAAGTATCGACCTCAGAGTTTTTTTTTAATGTGGATATATCTGTTGATATCTACTATATTAGAACTTAAAACACTTAAAACTGAGAAATTTAAAAAATATGTATTAATTCATGTAAATATAACATACACATTAATATAAATATGTAGAATGTCTTCTAAAACAGTAAGAAGGGTATCATTTTTTATACATTTTGCAGATCTCTTTAAGAAAAGACAGCTGGATTCTTTTTATATGTATATATATATATATATATTTATTATACTTTAAGTTCCAGGGTACATGTGCACAACCTGCAGGTTTGTTACATATGTATACATGTGCCATGTTGGTGTGCTGCATCCAGTAACTCGTAATTTATATTAGGTGTATCTCCTAATGCTATCCCTCCCCCCTCCCCCCACCCCACAACAGGCCCCCGTGTGTGATGTTCCCCTTCCTGTGTCCAGGTGTTCTCATTGTTCAATTCCCACCTATGAGTGAGAACATGAAGTGTTTGGTTTTTTGTCCTTGCGATAGTTTGCTGAGAATGATGGTTTCCAGCTTCAACCATGTCCCTGCAAAGGACATGAACTCATCATTTTTTATGGCTGCATAGTATTCCATGGTGTATATGTGCCACATTTTCTTAATCCAGTCTATCATTGTTGGACATTTGGGTTGGTTCCAAGTCTTTGCTATTGTGAATAGTGCTGCAATAAACATACGTGTGCATGTGTCTTTGTAGCAGCATGATTTATATTCCTTTGGGTATATACCCAGTAATGGGATGGCTGGGTCAAATGGTATTTCTAGTTCTAGATCCCTGAGGAATCGCCACACTGACTTCCACAATGGTTGAACTAGTTTACAGTCCCACCAACTGTGTAAAAGTGTTGCTATTTCTCCACATCCACTCCAGCACCTGTTGCTTCCTGACTTTTTAATGATCGCCATTCTAACTGGTGTGAGATGATACCTCACTGTGGTTTTGATTTGCATTTCTCTGATGGCCAGTGATGATGAGCATTTTTTCCTGTGTCTGTTGGCTGCATAAATGTCTTCTTTTGAGAAGTGTCAGTTCATATCCTTTGCCCACTTTTTGATGGGGTTGTTTGTTTGTTTTCTTGTAAATTTGTTTGAGTTCTTTGTAGATTTTGGATATTAGCCCTTTGTCAGATGAGTAGATTGCAAAAATTTTCTCCCATTCTGTAGGTTGCTTGTTCACTCTGATGGTAATTTCTTTTGCTGTGCAGAAGCTCTTTAGTTGAATTAGATCCCATTTGTCAATTTTGGCTTTTGCTGCCATTGCTTTTGGTGTTTTAGACATGAAGTCCCTGCCCATGCCTATGTCCTGAATGGTATTGCCTAGGTTTTCTTCTAGGGTTTTTATGGTTTTAGGTCTAACATTTAAGTCTTTAATCCATCTTGAATTAATTTTTGTATAAGGCGTAAGGAAGGGATCCAGTTTCAGCTCTCTACATATGGCTAGCCAATTTTCCCAGCACCATTTATTAAATAGGGAATCCTTTCCCCATTGCTTGTTTTTCTCAGGTTTGTCAAAGATCAAATAGTTGTAGATGTGTGGTATTATTTCTAAGGGCTCTGTTCTGTTCCATTGGTCGATATCTCTGTTTTGGTACCAGTACCATGCCGTTTTGATTACTGTAGCCTTGTAGTATAGTTTGAAGTCAGGTAATGTGATGCCTCCAGCTTTGTTCTTTTGGCTTAGGATTGACTTGGCAATGCGGGCTTTTTTTTGGTTCCATATGAACTTTAAAGTAGTTTTTTCCAATTCTGTGAAGAAAGTCATTGGTAGCTTGATGGGGATGGCATTGAATCTATAAATTACCTTGGGCAGTATGGCCATTTTCATGATATTGATTCTTCCTACCCATGAGCATGGAATGTTCTTCCATTTGTTTGTGTCCTCTTTTATTTCATTGAGCAGTGGTTTGTAGTTCTCCTTGAGGAGGTCCTTCACATCCCTTTTAAGTTGGATTCCTAGGTATTCTCTTTGAAGCAATTGTGAATGGGAGTTCACTCATGATTTGGCTCTCTGTCTGTTATTGGTGTATAAGAATGCTTGTGATTTTTGTACATTGATTTTGTATCCTGAGACTTTGCTGAAGTTGCTTATCAGCTTAAGGAGATTTTGAACTGAGCCGATGGGGTTTTCTAGATATACAATCATGTCATCTGCAAACAGGGACAATTTGACTTCCTGTTTTCCTAATTGAATGTCCTTTATTTCTTTCTCCTGCCTGATTGCCCTGGCCAGAACTTCCAACACTATGTCGAATAGGAGTGGTGAGAGAGGGCATCCCTGTCTTGTGCCAGGTTTCAAAGGGAATGCTTCCAGTTTTTGCCCATTCAGTATGATATTGGCTGTGGGTTTGTCATAAATAGCTCTTATCATTTTGAGATACATTCCATCAATACCTAGTTGATTCAGAGTTTTTAGCATGAAGAGCTGTTGAATTTTGTCGAAGGCCTTTTCTGCATCTATTGAGATAATCATGTGGTTTTTGTCTTTGGTTCTGTTTATATGCTGGATTACGTTTATTGATTTGTATATGTTGAACCAGCCTTGCATCCCAGGGATGAAGCCTACTTGATCACAGTGGATAAGCTTTTTGATGTGCTGCTGGATTTGGTTTGCCAGTATTTTATTGAGGATTTTCACATCGATGTTCATCAGGGATATTGGTCTAAAATTCTTTTTTTGTTGTTGTGTCTCTGCCAGGCTTTGGTATCAGGATGATGCTGGCCTCATAAAATGAGTTAGGGAGGATTCCCTCTTTTTCTATTGATTGGAATAGTTTCAGAAGGAATGGTACCAGTTCCTCCTTGTACCTCTGGTAGAATTCGGCTGTGAATCCATCTGGTCCTGGACTCTTTTTGGTTGGTAAGCTATTAATTATTGCCTTAATTTCAGATCCTGTTATTGATCTATTGAGCGATTCAACTTCTTCCTGGTTTAGTCTTGGGAGGGTGAATGTGTCCAGGAATTTATCCATTTCTTCTAGATTTTCTAGTTTATTGGCGTAGAAGTGTTTGTAGTATTCTCTGATGGTAGTTTGTATTTCTGTGGGATTGGTGGTGATATCCCCTTTATCATTTTTTATCGTGTCTATTTGATTCTTCTCTCTTTTATTCCTTATTAGTCTTGCTAGCGGTCTATCAGTTTTGTTGATCATTTCAAAAAACCAGCTCCTGGATTCATTGATTTTTTTGAAGGGTTATTTGTGTTTCTATCTCCTTCAGTTCTTCTCTGATCTTAGTTATTTCTTGCCTTCTGCTAGCTTTTGAATGTGTTTGCTCTTGCTTCTCTAGTTCTTTTAATTGTGATGTTAGGGTATCAATTTTAGATCTTTCCTGCTTTCTCTTGTGGGCATTTAGTGCTAATAATTTCCCTCTATGCACTGCTTTAAATGTGTCCCAGAGATTCTGGTATGTTGTGTCTTTTTTCTCGTTGGTTTCAAAGAACATCTTTATTTCTGCCTTCATTTCGTTATGTACCCAGTAGTCATTCAGGAGCAGGTTGTTCAGTTTCCATGTAGTTGAGCGGTTTTGAGTGAGTTTCTTAATCCTGAGTTCTAATTTGATTGCACTGTGGTCTGAGAGACAGTTTGTTATAATTTCTGTTCTTTTACATTTGCTGAGGAGTGCTTTACTTCCAACTACGTGGTCAGTTTTGGAATAGGTGCGGTGTGGTGCTGAGAAGAATGTATATTCTGTTGATTTGGGGTGGAGAGTTCTGTAGCTATCTATTAGGTCCACTTGGTGCAGAGCTGAATTCAGTTCCTGGATATCCTTGTTAATTTCTGTCTCGTTGATCTGTCTAATGTTGACAGTGGGGTGTTAAAGTCTCCCATTATTATTGTGTGGGTGTCTAAGTCTCTTTGTAGGTCTCTAAGGACTTGCTTTATGAATCTGGGTGCTCCTGTATTGGGTGGATATATATTTAGGATAGTTAGATCTTCTCGTTGAATTAATCCCTTTACCATTATGTAATGGCCTTCTTTGTCTCTTTTGATCTTTGTTGGTTTAAAGTCTGTTTTATCAGAGACTAGGATTGCAACCCCTGCCTTTTTTTGTTTTCCATTTGCTTGGTAGATCTTCCTCCATCCCTTTATTTTGAGCCTATGTGTGTCTCTGCACGTGAGATGGGTTTCCTGAATACAGCACACTGATGGGTCTTAACTCTTTATCCAATTTGCCAGTCTGGAAAGACAGCTGGATTCTTATATCTGCTTCTGCACTTAAAAGTTGCAATATATTGTTTTGGTTGAAGTAAATGAAGATGATTCAGTCTTACATAGACAGGTAGTCAGTAAAAGGAAGCGTATTTTAAAGCCTTTTCAGATAATTGTGGATGTTCTTCTTGGATTGCACAATGAAACTCAACAAGTGGTAGTTTATAAAGGTTAGTTGCAATGTGGAATGTTGAAACTGTATTAATAAATTTTCGCTACTTGCCTTGCGTTTTGAAAGGACCTTTACCCAAGCATGATTTTTGCCACCATGCTTAGGTCAGTTGGAAGGTATCGATTCACTAAGTTAAGTAGATTTTACAAATGTTTATTCATTTCATTATATGATATGAAAAAAAATCACATGTGTTAACATTACCTTCAGTCTCAACAGAAAAGTCATTGACAATTAAGAAGCTGTCAAATTCACAGTGGTGAATTTAATTGTCCTAAATTCTAATATTTGGTTGAAAACTTGTATTTTGTCACTAACAGGAAATGTTGTCAGTTGTTTTCCTTGAAATGACAGTCGCGTGTTGTTCATTTTCGAGAAAGTATCTGCTAAATACTCGTCTGTGTAACCAAGTTTTGTGTCAGTCATCTGTCAAGTAAAAATGGTATTCTGTGGGAAAAAAAAGGCAGTTTTAATGCACAACTCAAAAATCCTGCAATCCCTTTCCCTTGAGACAATCATCATACTTCTGTGTGCAACAGAAATGCTGAATGGGTACTTCCATTTCTCCCCACAGAATATTAAAAAGATGTGTACTCAATGCTCAAGATTTAGTAAAGTTAGTACTTATTACTGCGCCATCAAGAACATTCTTAAGGGAAGTGACAACTTGTTTTTTTCACTGTGAGCATGTGGTGGTGAAGAATGCCTGGTAGTCCAGTCTGGTGCCAATGTGGGATTGTGCTAAGGTGCTGGCAGTTTTACCCACCATGACTTTTGCACCATCATTGCAGATGGTAATGCAGTTAGAAAGGCAAATAACATCTAGTATTATTATGAAAATGGTTTTGATCTTGCAGGTTCCCCAGAGGTCTGTGGAGCACACATCCATTGGCACAGAGGGTGATACGAGAAGAGAGAAAGAAACATGAACCCAAGTTGGTAGGAAGGCTTGGAAGTTCTTCCAAGGAAGAACTGAGCTGGACCTTAAAGGAGAGTTAAGATTTGGATAGGTGGTTAGGAGAGCAGGAGAGGATTTCAGGACAGAGAAACCATGGGAGCAAAGGAGTAGAGAGAGGAAGGACCATGACATAGTCAAAAGACTAATGAGAAAGATAGTTGGGTTGGAAGGTTGGGAATGGGGAGTAATGGTTTATAAAATGTGGCCTATAATCAGATTATAAGGCATTTGAAAAGTTTGGACTTCCTCTAGAGGTTGCTGAGAGTAACTAATGGTTTTTGACCCCTTCTGTGACTTGCTGAGCATATTGGTTTAGGAACATCTTTCTGGTGGCAGTGTAAAAGGTAAGTTGGTGAACAGGAGAACTGGATGCAAGGAGACCAGTGGGTTGTTAATTGTAACCTCATTAGTAGCGGTCAAGAGCACAGACTAGAACGATGGCAATAGATGGAACAGATTGAAAGCTAAAGTAACTGCCTCAGAGGTAGAGGCAATATGAGAACTAAAGATGAAAAAGTCAAAGGTCACCTATATTTTATATTGCATAACCCCAACTGCTTGCCAAGGACATTGTCTATTAGGGAAATGTAAAAAAAATTGGGTGCTTTTATATATGGTCCCACATATGACTTTATCCTCCCAAAAAATCAGAATGCTTCCTTTTTTCCAATAGCAGGACTATATCATTGAACGTATTTTCCTTTTGCCCTGCTGCCAAGAGGCTTTGTGCCAGTTTTCATGTTAAGATCACGACAACTACAATTGTCTCAATGGTTAGTACATTTTCTTCCTCCTACCTTCTCTGGCTCTGGTTCTGTTTATAATTCTTTAATGGTATTGTATTTATTCTTCTTGACACCAGATGTCTTACGTCTTCTTTTGAAAGAGGCTAGGAGAAGGGGAGAATACAATTTAATCGCTCTTAACATATTCTATTCTTTTGTGGAATAAGGCCCTCCTCTTTATCACACTTTACTCAGAATCTGAAGAAAGACTAAAAGCCTCTGATGTCCAAAACCAAAGCACTACTCCTTAATTTGAGAGAATTTCAACAAATTCAGTTAATCTGGTTGCCCAATTCAAAGCATGTTAGAAGCAGCAGGTAATAGGGTAACACAACACCTATTAAAGACAGCTAAAAGAAGTAATCCCTGATAATCTGAGTAACAGCAGAGAGAAGAAGCAAGATGCAGGTGGAAGTTTCTGATGATTATGAGCTATGTGAATGTACCCAACACAGGTAGTAATGAATAAAGAACGGTTACCTATTAAGGTAGAGAATACCATTGTGAAAGCTCACATTTATTGAGCTTTTACTATATTCCAGGTTTTGTGCCATTGCCTTGCATGCATCATCTCACTTAATCTTCACAATTACCCTGCCTTTCTATGATTTTCCCTTTTTACAAATGAGTCAGTTTAGTTTTAAAGAGATACAATATACACACAAAGGCACATGGCTAGTTGTACATGGCATAGTTAAGGTTTGAAGCTAGTAGCTCTGCCAGATACCAAAGTCTGTGTTCTTTATTCTCATTTTGGACTCTTTTCATTTACCTGCTAAATAATAATAGCTTATGTTCAATATATCCTCTTTTAAGAGAGTTTTGTAAGGTTTTTTTTTTATTTACTATCTATAGTCAGCTGAAAACATTTTTTCATCACTGTTTTTTTTTGTTGTTGTTGTTGTATTTTTTTTTTTTTTTTTTTGAGACAGAATTTTGCTCTTGGTGCCCAGGCTGGAGTGCAATGGCACGATCTTGGCTCACTGCAACCTCCGCCTCCCAGGTTCAAGCAATTCTCCTGCCTCAGCCTCCCGAGTAGCTGGGATTACAGACATGCACCACCACGCCTGGCTAATTTTGTATTTTTAGTAGAGACGGAGTTTCTCCATGTTGAGGCTGGTCTCGAACTCCTGACCTCAGGTGATCCGCCACCTCGACCTCCCAAAGTGCTGGGATTACAGGCGTGAGTCACCACGCTTGGCCTGCACCACTGTTTTAAATGAGACATTCATTTTTTAAAATTGTGTTTTGGAAACATCTGTGCATCCCTATTTCCACACCACAAAGAACAGCCATTCTTGTAAACTGCTTTTTGAGTTAAAGGAAGAAAAGTAATATCTATATAAAACATGAATCAACTGGTAGGAATCGTCACAATCCTTTGCTTTGCTGGGCACTAGGTACTCTGATTTGTTTTTCTTCCTCTAGCTTTGAATGAAGTTGCAAACGTTGATTTCCAGAGCAGTCGTCTGAGATTATGGCCCAGGGGTACATGTGACATAAGCGGTTGACTAGGGAATTACAGATTATGACAGCACTCTTGAGTAGCTGAAAAGCTAAAAATAGCCCAGGGCAGTTCTAAGACTGGAAATGGAAACCTACTGTAAAAGATGAGTTCACCAAAGAAATTGTACCAGGAAAAACCCTTAGATGACTTTCAAACATGTGTCACTATGGGAGTGACAGATTGTAACATTAAGGGAAGCTGCAGAAGAATTATCTGAGAACCTAGTAAAGAACCCAAGACTTCCTACTTTGGTTATGCCCCCACTTACACCTTACTTATCTTCTTCATCTCAGCTTAAGTCTAAATAGCTATAGCTTAAAATTTGAGGGACTGCTAACCTGACACAGGTGTCTACTAACTTGACACAGTCACATGTGACACAGGTGACTTAGAAAAGGTGGGCAATTCACAGCTATCGATTTGGTGACTGATTTGGTATTTGTGAGTCGTGACCAGTTTTGTGGTCTAAGAACCAAACATAGGTAAGCTAAAGATAGTTGAAGTATATAATTAAGAAGAATCAGAGGATGAGCAGAGGGGAACATACAGTTACGAAGTCAAGCTACATTTGTTGTTCCATAAAACTAAGGATCTTAAAGTTTGTGGATAGAATATTGTGAAAGTTCACTAAATCATAAAGAATCTGGTTGTAGCAATATTATTTTGGTTCCAACTGATTCCAGAATATAAGATTGGAGCTATTTCTTTAAAAGTTTAGAAATGTAATTTAGGACAACTCTCTTGTCTAAGTGGAAAACCTACAGATCATTATTCCTCAGGAGACGGTACAAACTGGAAATGCTCACAGGGTCAAAAAAGCTTGAAGTAAGCATGGCTGGATATTAAGTCCATAGTGGATATTAAAGCAAGATGCCTTGAGGATATTTGAACCTTAAGAGTTTAGCCTCTAGGAGGATAATCATTCACTCTCACAAATGTCCTTTTTTACCACCTGTCTTGTTTTATTATATCTATCTTTTGTAATGCTTTATTGGGAATATCTTAAAGTTTGATCTCTCCTACATTTCTTTTACCAACATTACCACTTCCAGATGAGAACAGTGCAAATGGATGATGATGTCTTCTAGAAAAGGAGAGTATAAAAACAACCACTATAGGCATTTTCACATTTTTTTCTTTTCATTTATTGACTATTTATTGTTCTGCTTTTCTGCAGATCACCTCTAAGGAAGGCTAAATTGAGATTTTTAAAATGATCAAAAGTCTGTGGGAAAACAGGAAAGCCAAATATATATATATTTAGTCATGCTAATGAAAATTACAATTATAACTCTGTGGGTTTACGAAAAAGATTCAGTAAGAGTCCTCTACCCCATAAGAAGGCTCCTAACTCAGCATCTTCCACCCTTGTTAATTAATGACATTTAAGGAAGTTTTATTTTAAATGTCATTTCAAAGTTCTGTTTTCATATTTCCTCTACCCTTTTTCAGAAATTTAAAGAATACTGAAAATCCTATGAGAACTCCATTTGATAAAAGTACTGCTTCCTTGGCATGAACTAGAGGGAAATATTTAATACTCATTATGCTCAAGGCATTGCGCCTTCATCCTTACCAGGGTCTAAAATGTGGTATTCTAATGATAGAACTCTAGAGTTTAACACAGGCAAATGGAAACAGAGGTAAAATCAGGAAGCCATTGATATGTGAACATTCCCTTGCATACAAGGCATTTCATGGCACAATCTAATGGTATTTATAAGTGAACTACATCTATCCTTGATGAGAAATGACTGAAAATAACAAGTTCAGGACTAGTTATAGCCATTTACTTATATAAAACACAAGACTGTTTTTTAAGAATTTCTACATATTTTAACTTGCAACAGAAATTATTTGTGTACCAATAATAAGTAGTATGTTTTGAATCTAAAGAAATATGTGAGTCAAAATACACAATTGATAACCTGGTAGTTATGCAGGCGGCATGTAAATTATAATGGAAAGTCGGTCAACAGGCTGGTGCCCTTCTAAAATTAGCATGCCACATTCCAGTTGAGTGTCCACATTACAGAAAACATGCTCACCTTGCTAAACCCAGGGCTGCTTGACGGTGCCCTGAAATATTTCTCCCTTTTCCTTTTGGGACTAATTTAGTAAAAATGAACTCTTTCAAGGTCACTGTATACATCATTTCCTATTTTGTTTTTCATGACCACAACCCCAGATTGTGCTGGGACACCATCCACTCCCAGCAGCTGCTGCCCCTTCTGAAGCTGTCTTATTCAGCCACCTGTTCAAATGGATACCAGGGTTCACAGTGGCTGTAAATCACACCATTTCTGGGTTTGGATTGCTTGGTGCAAGCACCATCCAGGGATGCATAGGAACCTCTCATAACCAGTCTCTCCATAACTCAGGTTGAGTGCTTACCTTTGAAGAGATATTTGGTGCCCTCCCCCACTTAGCAGTCTTCTCTTAGCAGACAGAAGTCCCATACTGAACCACATGGAATCATATAGGCCTAGTCTGTATTGCCCTTTACCCCACTTACTCAGTTACCTGTGTGGTTTTCAGGATTTCATCAGTAAGAAGACCCAAGACAATCTACTGAAAAGTGTTTAAATAATAAGATTGTTCAAATAAGTGAAAGATAGTAATAAGCACTCCACAAAAAAAAAGAGTATTTCATTTGGGCAGTATCCATAGCAAAGTTAGAGCTCTCTAGTTAAAAGGTGTACATGAAAAAAACAAAATACATATTTTGACTATCATATTGGGAAAAGTAGAAAACACTGAAGTCAAATGAGGGTGGAGCAAAGCACTCATACCCTCTGGTGGATACGTTGATTTTATAAATATTTTGGATGACAGTTTAGCAACCAGTGTATCAAAAGCTTTTAAAAAGGCTGTGCCACTTAAAATCTGCTTCTGGAATTTAGTAATTGAACATGTGCACAGATACATATGTACAAAGATGCTCATTGCAGCAGTGTTTATAAAGGCAGAAAATTGGAGACTACTTCTGTGCTCATCAGTGGAGGAACTGTTTTACTAAATTATATTGCAGCTATTACACATGTTGTAAAGCTTTCTATAAAGCTAGCAAGTGTCTATAATAGATGTTTATAAAACAGTATGTATAATATGGTATCATTTTGGTTAGTGTGTTTGTGTGCTCTTGCATGCATGTATGTCCATCTAAGCCTGAAAGGATGTACTCCAAAATTTTAAGAAACTTAGCTCATGTCTAGGAGATGGGATTACATATGACTTTTATTTTTTCTGTATACATTTTTGGATCTTCAGAATTTTTTTGTGTTGAGTATATATTTTATCAGAAAAAAAAATTTTATTCTAAGAAAAAAATAAACCTGAGCCCTTGAGTTCTCAGCAGAGAACTCACGGTGAACAAGCCAGACCTGGCCACTAATCTTCAGAAGCTGATAGTGTGGTTTAACAGGGCAGGAAGCAGACAGTGTGACTTGTACAAAAATCATTCTGGGCCATTCCTGAGTACACCTTGATCATCATAGAGTCACAACCAAGGGATGTTCTTGGAACATCCTGACACATTTGACTCTAAAACAGACTTGGAGTCCAAGCTTCAGGATGCATTTTCATCCTTGAATGGGCTCCTTTTCCACTGTGCTTCTTTGCTGTCTGCACATTCCTGAATGCCTGGTCAGGTCAAAAACAAGCTCATTTACTCCCTACAGCACACACCATTTACTGAGCTGACTTCCTGTGTGGCTCCCCTGTGTGTCCAGAGTTACTATGTTACTTCCTTTCCTCCCCACCCCAGCTTCCACAATACTTGTCTTTCCACCTTCGGAAGTCAGCCTTCCATACCTGCAGTTCTTGGCACTTTTTTGGCTCAATTATTACTGTTTTTCTTGAACTTTGTAGTTTGCATTTTGATAAAAATGAAAAAAATTTGATCTAGTGTCTTCTATCTCTGCAATATTTTTGCACCGTTTTGTTGGAAAAAACGTTCTACTTATTACTCATGCCTTGACTCTGATGCCTGAGCTCTGCAACAGTTAGGAAAAACACTTAGGAATATGTGTCATTCATAACTGCATAGCATGTAAATAAAATTTTATTATGTTTCATATTTTGAGAAATCTAAATATTTACGTAAAGGCTTTTGCTTCTAATCTTTTGTTTCCCTAGAACTTGCTATGTACCTGGATTCACAATTTACTGAAAAATAGAAGATTCCATATTTTTACTTTAGTAGTTGTCTATTATTACAGTTTTTTTCCCTTTGTGTTCTTCTTGGAATTAACTACTTTTTCTTGTCTTAAAAATTGTAGAGAGCCCCATGTTTTTTCCATATTTGCACATCAGTTACAATTCAAATTATGTGAATGTTTTGATACTTACTTTTCGTAGTGTAATTCTTCAACTTTATTGTTAGACAGTAAACCTTTCTTGCATCCTGCTAGGCGTAAAGGTTGAGAGACCATTAACCCAAATGAGCCTGGAATACTCTCCAATCTCAGTAAATGACAACCGTGTCAGGGGAGGAATAGGCTATTTGGGAATTCCCATACAGTAAGTCAATCTCACTTGCTGTCCAAGGCAACTTTCAAACACCCTTACACATGAACAAGAATTTGAGCAAAGATCCTAATCTGACTGCTTTTATTCAGATCTTGGACAAATAATTTAACTTCAGCATTTTAACTATCTGTTTTTATTTAGGCCAGTTCCGTTATTTGTTACATATTCTTTCCAGGCTAGTGATATTAGTTTCTCCCTTTTTCCCCATTATGTGGTAGAATGTCTTCTGCCAAGAGATAGGAAACCTGGATTTCACAGCAGTAGAGACTGGCACTCTTTTCTCTAGTATTGCATTCTAATAGTACCATATTGGAGTTTGACCTACTTATTACACACAGGCAAATGTTGCCAAGTCAGTGAGGTTTTCCTCCAAATAAAGGGCCATGGTCTTGCATCACACATGGGAGGTTTGCATGCAGACCAGATTATCTGGGAGCTAACTGCCAACCTGTGCCACTGTGCAAGGGAAGAGTGCCTGGAGCCATGTACAGATGTGGTTCTCATTCCAGGCCTAATTCTTCAGAACTTAACTTCCGTGAGCTCCTGCTGGACTCCACCAAAGGCAACAGAATGTGGGCTACAGAGAACAAGTTGCTTTTTGTACATTTTTCAGATGTTTGCAATGATGACCAGGTTTTCCTGACTATATTCCACTGGACCCCACTTCCCCTTTGTTCTTCTGAGAAATTATATATATATATTTTTCTCCATGCACAATTTTCCTCTAGCAATAGCCCTGGTTGTCACCCATAGTATAGTCCTCATTGAAAGTAAGAGAAATTGAATGGACCTAAAGGACTCTGTGGCTGAAATGAAAAAGACATGGCTCAGCATTTTCATATAGTTTTAAATACTCTTAAAGTTTATTGATTTGAAATAACTGAAATTGCAAATATAAGAATTGGATAGTGATATCAGCCTAAGACATGGATGTGTCTTTGTTTTCCTAGCCCTTTATTGCCCTGGATAGGAAAGGTCTCATGGCAGTCACGCTGTTTGTGCTTAGAATTCCTGGTTAAATGCACTGGATGAAGGTGCATTGAGATGGGTTACATCAGCAGCATTCATTCTGCTGGTGAAAAAACCTGCCAATTAGGAACTTCAGATACTGGTAATAAACCTTCATGTGTTCCACAGTGGAAAAGGGGAAAGGAATGATAAATATCACGTTTCATATAAGTATCAAAAAATATGTTTTCAAAAGTGAGAAGAAAAGGAGAAAGTGGTGTGTGGTAAAATTGTGTAGCTTCTGTGCTAATCGATAATGAAGAGGAGAATTAATCACATTTAATGAACACAATGTACAAGTTATACAAATGATTGCAAAATGAAATCTTATCAGTTTTTAATGAATCATAGAAAACTTTTCAGTATCACGTAGTTAAAAAGCAGTCGATTCTTAACAAAATTAACATGAGCATTCTGACAAGCTGTGTGAGAACACAAATTCAAATCATTCCTCAGAGTAAATTAGAACAATTCTATCCAACTCCATATGTTCACAGGTATTTTTGTATTTGGTCTCTGTTCTGCCATCATTTCCTTTTAAACCATAAGGATTTTAAGCTCTAAACTAAAGGCTTCTATATTTTGTTGTTGCTGGTTCTTTTGGTTTTTTAAAATTTGTTTGCTAGGAATGAGGGACATCATTTGTAGATTAGGGGACGAACACCAATGACTAGTGCAGCTTTTGTTTATATGGGAGTATCTTTTGGCATTTGTTTGAAGTTGTCCCATGATACCTTCTATAAAGCGGTGAAGTAAGTCCAAAAAGAAGTCATGAAAAATGGTAAAAGGTTAGAAAATAAGACATAAGAAGGATGAGATTTTCATCAACAGTGCTTTGTCTTAGATTTTTCTTCTTGTTAAATAAACTTCACTCCCTTGGATAGGCAGTTTTTTTTACTATGTTCGTTTTCAATCTTGATATGCCTTTGCTGCTTGAGGTGAAAATAATTCTGGGATGATTGTGTTACATATGTAATATTGACATGTTCTCATGAGTTTATAGAATAATGCTGTACTGTTCAATTCAAATACTTCCTTTCACCAAGAATAGACCATGTTTGCCATGTCAGTCATAGTGGCCATGACTGTTTGGTAAGCTAACTAGTAGTGGATGTATTTCTCTTTCACAATAAACCTATTAAAGCTTGAAAATTAACACTTATAAGTCAGCATTTTTTCAAAAAATTATATATTACAATTTGTTTTTCTGTTTTACACAGGAAGAATTTAATGGAAAACCTGACTCCCTCTTTTTTAATGATGGCCAGCGAAGAATTGACTTTGTTCTAGTATATGAGGATGAAAGCAGAAAAGAGACCAATAAAAAGGGTACAAATGAAAAACAAAGGGTAAGTTTTTATGCTATTTTCCTTTCTTTTTATTTCTTATATTGTAACATGAAAAAACTGCTATTTTGTATAAGTAATAAAGTGAAACTGATGTTGAAATATCATACACAAAACAGTTTCATATTTTCTCTGCTCATGTTTTCTCAAAGCATATTAACAAAACGTTTTTTAAATATGAATCAGAAACTTCCTCAGGCTCTTAACCTCATTTGGTTTCACAGCTGAAAGCAGACTTTCTTTCAAGGAATTGGACTTTCTATTGTACAGAAGAGATTTACCTTAAGCATGCCTGGCTATTCAATTAGGTGGCATAGGAAGCTAATGATTAATAATGACAAGTGTAATAACAACTAGCTTTCAATGTGTGCTCACTCAGGTATTGTACATACATTTGCATACGTGTTCTCCTTTCATACAGCATGAAGTGGGTTCTATAATCACACCATTTTATGGATGATAGAGATGACCCTTAGGTTAGATGAATATACAAGGTCATGGAATCTAGTCTAGCAAGTGGTGAAGCCATGGTTCAAACTGTCTTGAATATGGAGACTGCTCTTGACCTCGCATTTTTCTCTGTTACCTCCCTTTCATTCATTGCATTGCCAGTCAAGCTGCTCTCTTCTCCCTTTCCTTTGCACCAAGCTTTTTTAAGTAAAAGGCCATCTTTATCTCAGGATATTAAAACAGTAGGGCAGGTTTATAAACAACTCCCTGGAACGTTTTTACCTGTACCTAAACTGCATTAAACTAAAACAGACCAAAAAAGATTGCATATATGTGTTACTTTCACCCACTTTAGAAATCATTCCTCATCCTTTTTTTCTTCCCCTTTTCACATATATGTGTGCTCTCTCCCTCTCTCTCTGTTCTCTCTCTCTCTCTCTCACACACACACACACACACACAAAACTTTAATTGTCCCTGTCTAGACTGTCTCCTTGAAATATGCCAACTTTAAATCTATTGATTTTTGCCCATTCTTTCAAATCAAGCGATAAAACCTTTTAAAAAATGAAGTAATCAGTACTGTTTTATTCATCTGTTTGTTTCAGAGGGGGTTAAGTTTGGCATTTTATATTTGCATGGTGGAATAGAATGAGCCCAGACTTTGGAAACTGACCTTCAAGTTCTAATTCTGCCACTCTGTTGGAGTAATTCTAGTTGTAACAAACAAGCTCCCAGATGACAGGGACTTAACACAAAAACAGAGTGTTTATTGTTCACGTCAAGGTCAAATGTAGCATCCCTGTTTGGCACATAGTTTGGGGTTGGGCCTCTGTCCTTTGCAGTTATCAAGAAACCCAAGCCTGACAGAAGCTCTGCCATATTCGCCAGGTAGACTCCCGGGTCATCCCGAATATCAACATAGATAAATGGTAGATAAGATGAAGAAAGTACTCATGCTGCTTTACCACTTTGGCCTCAAAGTAACTACATCAGTTGTGCTCATATGCTACTGGTCAGAACTCAGAAGAGTGGAAAGTATCGTTTCTGGCTGGGTAGCTATGTGACTTAGGCAAATTTTCAAATCAATTTTTTTTTTCTTTTTTATGTTTGACATCTCTAAAATCAGTTGGATCTTACAAATGCTGTATCATAATTTCATTGTTGAATTTTTTCTTATTAATACATAAAATATTGGCTCACCATACAATCAATGGCATCTTAGATTCAGGGAAATTGGATCCTAATACTTAGCCTATATAATTATGGTTAAGATTAAATAAAATAACATATAGATGTTACATAATTTTTTAGCATTATTAGATCATAAATTTTAATTCTTGTATCTTCCCATTTGGGATTTTCTTAAAATAATGCCCTGATATGAAAAGGCATGACTTTCCTGTTATTATACAATTTTATCACTAAAGTAAAACAGCTTAGGGTACTTTAATTTTCCTGTGGACACTAAGATATTTTATGCAGTCATAGTCACCATCATCAAATATTCATTAAGTATCCATATGCCAATGGATCTGGATTGAGCAATATATAAAGTAAGTTAAACAGATCTAATACATTAAAGTATAAAAGAAACAGTTCTGGTTTTAAACAAGAGCTTTACTGCCATGATGAAGGGCCCTAGAGCTGCTTACATTAATCAGTTCTGCATTTGCTTCAGACAGAAACATAGGTCCCAAGGTAACTCTCATAAATAAGGAGGAAAAAAATCATCATTAATTTTGGCAATCCTTGAACTCATGGATTGATATACCTTGATGTTCATTTTTATAAGCTGTGCTTTGAAGTGTTTTCAGACTGTATTTGCACATATTACTTAATTTATATATACTTCACCGAAATTCAAAGCTTAACTTTGGAATCATGTTTTTCTTCATTGGAAAAACATTTGTGAGTTCCATTGTACTCCTTGTCAGGCCTTATTGAGGATTTAGGACAATACCAAGGAAAGGCAATTCAAAATCCTGTTTTCTTTGAAAGAAAAAAAACTTATGTGTAAACCATATTGATTTCCTAAAGCAACCCCAAGCTTGACTTCACCAGAGTTTATCTAAAGGATATTGTTAAACACTTTATAGGGCTGGAGAAAGATAGAAGTGACAGGGCTACAAACACCAAAAACATAGAGTATTTAAAAGGATGTATCATCCTTTGAGCAAAAAGAAAATAATTTTCTAGCCAAACCTCCAAATATCATGTAACTTGGGCCACTCATATGACCAAAAACACTTAAGAAACATACCTTCCTTTAAAAAGCATAAACCATTTACATTTAGATTTTACATGAGGATGATTGTAAGTTGCTTCAGCAACAAACGCTCGTTTAGTCTGTACTGGGCTTGGCACAGAATGTTTGAATGTTTTAAATCACAAATAACAGGAAAACCAAACTCAAAATGGCTTAAATGCTAAAAGGAAATAATTATTTTCTCATTTAAGTAGTCTAGAGATACAGCCATTTCTGGATTAGTTTATTGGCTCAATGAAGTCATTCCATCCTCCTGCTCTGCCATCCTCAATATTTTGGCTCTTAAATTGTCTTCCCTTGATTTTAAGATGGCTGCTGCAACTCCAGGTAGCCAGAGGCAGAGAGAAGGAATGCCCCTTCTCAGGGCTGTTTTTTAAGAGGGAAGAAAGCTCCTCTGGAAGGGCCCTTTGCAGATTTCCTTTCACAATTCATTGTCTGTTACAAGTCTCTTCCTAAATCAACTACTGGAAATATGAATGGAATTATTGCATAGGATTGGTCTTTCATCTCTTGAGTCACCTGATCACAGAATACCTAAAGAACAAGCAGGCTTTTCTTAGTAATAAAGAGGGGAGAATGGCTGTTCCGTAGGCAGCCAGCAGTATCTGGCACAGTAGATGATTAAATATATCTAAATATGTTTGATCCATATTGTAAAGAGCAAAGATGTTTTACATAAAACAAATTCCCATATATTTCTCCAACTCCTCTTGCTCAGTTTTGTTAGTAATTGCTGCTTTCTTCCAGAACTGCTAACAATCGGCAGAACTGATCTTTTGAATTTTGTTTTGTCTGATGCTTGCCTTCAAACCGATGTGTTAGTGACCAAGTAATGGTACAATTCAGATGAGGGTGAAGATGGGGAAGAGGTCTAGGTAGTACAAAAACAGTGGGAACAACCCTGAATATGATTTATTTATTTACTTTAAAAAAATTATCCATTCCTAAAAGTTAATGGAAAATTTATGTCCTTGAAGTTGAAAAGTTTATATATGGAAGTATATATTTGTATTTCATATCTGACCTTAAGAATTCTTTAGTGTATGGCAAAAGGATCTGGCCAGTGGAGACTGTAGGATAGAGAATTTTTTTAAAATTAGTGATCAAAGTTAAATTTATCTAATTATAATTTAATTCAAACTTTCAAATACCGTGAGACAACTAACTGGTTATAGAGCCTGTGAGCTTCTAAAAACTGTTATCCATTGTTTTGGATTAATCATCATGAGACCAGAACAGTTTTCCTAGAGTCTGGATGAGATCTCTTGGGAAATGTTTAAAAACTTACCAAAAAGTTTTACTATGATGAACATGATATATCACTCCTTTTATTGAGATCTACTATCCTTTAAGTAAAGCTTTATAATACAGGTTAAGCATCCCAAATCCAAAATGCACCAAAACGCAAAATTTTTTGAGTGCTGACTTGACGTTCAAAAGAAATGCTTAGTGGATCATTTTGGATTTTCAGATGTGGGATGCTCAGCTGGTAAGTATAATGTAAATATTCCAATTTCTTAAAAAGTCCAAAATTAGAAATACTTCTAGTTCCAAGCATTTTGGATAAGAGATATTCAACCTGTAGTGTCCATGCAGATCTTGTACATTTTTATTAACTTTTTCCAATTACTGAAAATTTTTGTTGCTATTGTCAGAGGCATTTTAAATGCAGTTATGATTTACTGTGTGTAAAAGAAGTCTATTGATTTCTGTGAGTGCTAAGAACCTTGATAAGCTCTTTTTAGTTTTAGTAGTTTCTAATACTATTAATTTTCCCAAATGAAGACCATATTGTCTACAAATGATGACAATTTTGTTCTTTCTTTGCCATATTTATACTTTCTTTTTCTTGTCTGAGTGCAATGGCTATGACCTCTTGAACAAAACCAATACACATAGTAGTCACTATTGTATTGTTCCTGATTTTAATGGGAATGTTTCTAAAATTTCACTATTAAATATTACACTTGCCATACATTTTTGATAGATTTCTTTTAAAAAGTTAAAGGAGTTCCCTTTTAGTCCTAGATTGCTAAGCATTTTTATAATAACTGGGTTTTAAAGCTTATCAAATGCTTTTTCTTATATCTATTGAGGTGATCATATGGCTTGGTTCCTCATTAAGTCTTATGCATATTAAGTATTTGGTTATTTTTGCCTAATAAGATAGTATTATAACTGATAGTATAGTATAACTCAAAGCATTCATTTATTAGCTTTAATATACAATGTGTACTTTTTATAGTTATTAGCACCCTACTTATTTATGTTAATACTACATTAAATTATTTATGTATGGTCATAAGTTGCTTAATGATGTTTCAGTCAACAATGTACCACATATACCATGATGCCTCTTAAGATTGTAACACAGCTGAAAAATTCCTGTTGCCTAGTGACATCATAGCTGTCTTAACATGGTAGTGCAATGCATTACTCACATGTCTGTGGTCATGCTGGTATAAACAAACCTATTAGGCTGGGCTGCTAGTCATATAAAAATATAGCACATACAATCATGTATAGTACCGAACGCTTGTTAATGGTAATAAATGACTATGTTACTGGTTTATGTGTTTACTATACTATAATATATTTTAAAAGTATACTTTTTATCATTATTTTAGAGTATATTCCTACTTATAAAAAATAAATAAAAAAAGGAAGTTAACTGTAAAACAGCCTCAGGCAGGTACTTCAGGAGGTATTCCAAAAGAAGGCACTGTTATCACAGGAGATGACAGCTCTATTTCTGTTCCTGCCCCTGAAGACCTTCCAGTGAGACAAGATGTGGAGGTGGAAGACAGTGATACTGATGATCCTGACCCTGTGTAGGCCTAGCTAATGTGTGTATTTGTGTCTTAGTTTTCAACAAAAAAGTTTAAAAAGTTAAAAATTAAAGATAGAAAAATATTTGCAATAGAATAAGGATATAAAGAAAGAAGTTTTGTACAGCTGTAGAGTGTGTTTGTGTTTTAAGCTAAGTGAGCAGTGTTATAAAGTCTGCAGTAGTGCACATAATGTCTTAAGCCTTCAGGTTCAGTCACCACTCACTTGCTGACTCACCCACAGCAACTTCCATGCCTGCAAGCTCCATTCATGATAACTGCCCTAAACTGGTATACCATCTGTAAAATGTTTATACAGTATTTTTACTGTAGCTTTTCTATATTAAGATACACAAATACTTACCATGGTGTTACAGCTGCCTGTGGTGTTCAGCTCAGTCTCATGCAGTGCAGGATTGTAGCCTGAGAGCGGCAGGCCATTCCATATACCCTAGGTGTATGGTAGGCTACACCTTCTAGGTTTGTGTATGTTCATATGTACACTCTATGGTGTTCACACAAAGATGAAATCACATTCTCAGAACGTATCCCTGTTGTTAAGCAATGCATGAATGAATTTATAATTTATTAAATAGTATTCGATGCTTACATATTGAGTGTAAAAAAAGTTGAATTCATAGAAGTAGATAATAGAATAGTGATTAGCAGGGGCTGGAGGTGAGAGGATGTTGGGGAGATGTTGGTCAAAGGATACAAAATTTTAGTTAGATAAGAGGGATAAGATTAGGAGAACTATTGTACAGCTGACTCTATTTGATAATATATTCTTGAAAACTGCTAAGGAGTAGATTTTAAGTGTTTTTACCACAAAAGTTTGTGACGTGTAAATGCATATGTTAATCAGCTTGATTTTGGCTTCCATTATATATGCATATTTTAAAACATGTTATACATAACATTTTTATTTATCAATTAAAATAAATATAAATGTTAGGAGGGAAGTGGAAAAAAAGTATTTAAGGTCACCTATGGAAATATATCAAGAATGAAAGTAATTAAAGACTAAATCAGGGTAAAAGAAATATAAAAGCCAGAAAAATAAAATGAAGCCATGTGTCAGAGTAATAAAATGATTTATTATCAACCATAAGTTCTTGTTCAGAAGTTAGAGATCAGCTGCAAATTTGCCTCTCAACTTCTTAGTTGCCAAAGAATATAAGAGGATTTTATTAATAACATAATTTAAAGTTTCATCACAATAAAAACAAAACTGGTTGTTCCAAAGCAACACAGTGTTCTGGTAGGAAAGATCCTCCTGAGAAAAATTTGTCTCATGAATCCTCATAAAGAGGAAGGCATGATTGCATAGACTAAAAATTGGCTTACCTTCTTCAAATTGAAGAAATAAAGGGACAGCAGAAGGTGAGGGGCACTATGAGGAATCAGAACAGCGTGGAAAGTTTGCCTGGGAATGACATTTGCAACAGGTAGTTCATGAATTGGAAACTTGAGCCTCATGTTAAGATAGGCTCAGTAAGAGATATGGCAGCCAGTGTTGGGTGGTTTTACTTCCCAGCTAACTTTTGGCAGGTGTTCTGTCTTTTGTTTTAGGGAGTGAAGTCAGATCTATCTTTAGCTCCTAAATATTTTAGACTAAAGCAGGGAGGTCTTTATATTTTTATCTTTTCCCTTGCTTTACAGTCTACTTGTTTATGCTAAGATTGTAGGTAAAAAGGAATAAATTAAATTAGAATCAGCAGTTTCAAATTACAGCTATGAAATGCGTTGCTGGTATAAGCACATTTGGTTTTATTTTTGAGTATTACCACCAAGAGCAATGAATCCAATTCTTGCTTCTTATTTCCAAAATGGGAAGTATCTCTGGGCTGAAGCCTTAAAAACAGAGAGGACAATGAAATTCTGAAAAGCAAGACCTGATTATTCTATTTTATCCTACTGGGGGAATTAACAACGAGTTCACAAAGAC